>NC_000004.12:109527441-109678956 GCF_000001405.40 Homo sapiens | reverse complement strand
CGCCTCTGCCCGGCCACCCTGTCTGGGATGTGAGGAGCGCCTCTGCCCGGCCGCCACCCCGTCTGGGAAGTGGGGAGTGTCTCTGCCCGGCCGCCCCATCTGGGAGGAAGTGAGAGCGCCTCTGCCCAGCTGCCCCGTCTGGGAATTGAGGAGCGCCTCTGCCCGGCCACCCATCGTCTGGGAAGTGAGGAGCACCTCTGCCCGGCCGCCCCGTCTGGGATGTGGGGAGCGCCTCTGCTTGGCCACCACCCCGTCTGGGAAGTGGGGAGTGCCTCTGCCTGGCCGCCCCATCTGAGAGGTGAGGAGCGCCTCTGCCCGGCCGCCACCCCGTCTGGGAGGTGAGGAGTGCCTCTGCCTGGCCGCCACCCTGTCTGGGAGGTGAGGAGCTCCTCTGCCCGGCCGCCCCGTCTGGGATGTGAGGAGCGCCTCTGCCCGGCCACCGCCCCATCTGGGAAATGGGGAGCGCCTCTGCCCGGCCGCCCCGTCTGGGAGGTGAGGAGCGTCTCTGCCCGCCCGCCCATCATCTGGGAAGTGAGGAGCGCCTCTGCCTGGCCGCCCCGTGTGGGAAGTGAGGAGCGCCTCTGCCCGGCCGCCCCACCTGGGAGGTGTACCCAACAGCTCCGAAGAGACAGCGACCATCGAGAACAGGCCATGATGATGATGGCGGTTTTGTCGAATAGAAAAGGGGGAAATGTGGGGAAAAGAAAGAGAGATCAGATTGTTACTGTGTCTGTGCAGAAAGAAGTAGACATAGGAGACTCCATTTTGTTCTGTACTAAGAAAAATTCTTCTGCCTTGGGATGCTGTTAATCTATAACCTTACCCCCAACCCCGTGCTCTCTGAAACATGTGCTGTGTCAACTCAGGGTTAAATGGATTAAGGGCGGTGCAAGATGTGCTTTGTTAAACAGATGCCTGAAGGCAGCATACTCGTTAAGAGTCATCACCACTCCCTAATCTCAAGTACCCAGGGACACAAACACTGCAGAAGGCCGCAGGGACCTCTGCCTAGGAAAACCAGAGACCTTTGTTCACGTGTTTATCTGCTGACCTTCTCTCCACTATTATCCTATGACCCTGCCACATCCCCCTCTCCGAGAAACACCCAAGAATGATCAATAAAAACTAAAAAAAAAAAAAAAAAAAAAAAAAAATTTGTTTCCTTATAAGGAACAGAAATTTGTTAGTGGAGGCTGGGAAATCCAAGATCAATGCACCAGCATCTGACAAGGGCCTTCTTGCTGCATCATAATGTAGCAGAAAGCATTACGTGGGTGAGAGAGAGCAAGCAGGGGCTGAACTTGTCCTTTATTAAGGAACCCACTGCCAAGATAACACACTCCCATGATAACGACATTAATCCACTCACGTTGGTCCTCATGACCTAAACACCTCTAAAATGTCCCACTTCCCAACAGCTTTGCATTAGGGATCAAGTTTCTAACACATGAATTTTGAGGGACACATTCAAACCATAGCATTCTGCCCCGGCCCCTCAAATTCATGTCCTTTTCCCACACAAAATACATTCACTCCATCCCAAGAGCCCCAAGCATCTACTCAAAAGTCCAATTCCAAAGTCTCATCTAAATCAGATATGGGCAAGAATCTAGGCATGATTCATCCTGAAGCAAATTATCCTCCAGCTGTGAGTCTGAAATCAAACTCACAGCTGGAGTTTGTACTTCCAAAATACAATGGCTGGATAGGTATGGGATAGATATTTCCACTGCAAAAGGGAGAAATAGGAAAAAAGAGGTAACTGGTCCCACGTAAGTCCAAAACCCAACAGGGTAGTAAACAACATTAAATCTTAAAACTTCAGAACAATCTTTGAATTCATATGCCACCTTGTGGATACACTAAGGCAGGGGTTAGGTCCTCAAAATCTTGGGCAGTCCTGCCCCCATGGCTTTGCTGGGCTCAGCCCAGGCAGTAGCTCTTATGGGTTGAGGTTTCATGCCTGCAGCTCTCCCAGGATGCTGCTGCACACTGGTAGCTCTAAAGTTCTGGATTCTCAAGGGGCAGCTGTGAATTTTCCAAATATTTTACATTCTGCCTCATTTTTAATTGTGAATTCTGTCTTTAAATCTATTCTCCTCTCATTTTACTGTATGCAGTTAAAGAAACCATGCAGATTCTTCAATATTTTGCTTAGAATTTTCTTCTGCCAGGTAAATTAGTTTGTCACTCTTAAATTCTGCCTTCCATAAAGTCCTTGGATATGAAAACAATTCTTTGTAACTGCCCAGTCTTGTGCTATTCTGCTATTGCAGCAGAAAACAGATTAAGACAGAAAATTGGTACTAGGAGCAGAGTTACTGCTATAACAAATACCTGAAAAGGTAGAAGTGGCTTTGGAATTTGGTAATGGGCAAAGGCTGGAAGAGTTTGGAAGAGCAGACTAGAAAAAGCCTGTATTGTCATGAACAGAGTATTAAGGGCAATTCTGGTGAGGGCTCAGAAGTTCTTTGCAAGTCCATAACAATAATGGTGTTTATTCCAGCTTCCAGTAAGATATTCCTCATTTCAAAGAGCTTATCAGATTGGCCTTTACCATATACATATTTTTGGATTTTTAGTAGAGACAAGGTTTCACTATGTTGGCCACACTGGTCTCAAACTCCTGACCTCAAGTGATCCACCCGCCTCAGCCTCCTAAAGTGCCGGGATTATAGGTGCGAGTCACCACACCCAGCCTACCATCGATATTTCTACAAACATTCTGATCATGACCACTTAAGTAAATCTCTAAAAACTTTTAGACTTCCTACAGCTATTCTCTTCCGAGCCCTGACCAGAATTGTCCTTAACACTCTGTTCATGGCAATATAGGCTTTTTCTAGTCTGCTCTTCCAAACTCTTCCAGCCTTTGCCCATTACCAAATTCCAAAGCCACTTCCACCTTTTCAGATGTTTCTTATAGCCCCACTTCTGGTACCAATTTTCTGTCTTAATCTGTTTTCTGCTGCAATAGCAGAATATCACAGACTGGGCAACTTAGGAAGAACAACATTTTATTTCCTCACAGTTCTGGAGTCTGGGAAGTCCAAGACCAAGGTGTTGGCATATTTGGTGAGACCCTTCTTGCTGCATCATCCCATGGCAAAAGGGAGGCAGAGAGAAAGCAAGTGTTTATGCACAACAGCACAAGAAGGGGCCAAACTCATCCTTTTATAAGGAACCTACTGCCAAGATAACCTCTCCAGTGAAAATGGCATTCATCTATTCATTAGGGCAGTGCCCCCATGAGCCAAACACCTCCCAATACGCCTCACATCCCAACACCACAACACTGGGGATCAAGTTTCCAACACATCAACTTTGGGAAACATACTCAAAGTACAGCACTGCTCTAAAGATGAGGTTGTATGGCTTATTGACCTATCACCAGGTTTTGGCTGGAATAAACAGTAAATTTTCCAGAGGGTACTGAGCTTTCTCAGACAGACATTCTAAAAGAACCAGAGTTGTCATCCAAATGATGTGGCCTTGAGCTATGAGAAACTATGCAAATGTTGGTTCAACTCTCTTAGTGTGTGTGGTGTGAGGGGGGCAGTGTTGACAAAATCTGTGCTGAGAGTTTACAGTTTTTATAGGCCATGGTTAACGCCTAGTTGAGAAGAGGGTTCCGAGGAACCTGACTGAAGTTTAGTCAAGGTGAGAGTCTTTGTCAAGTGGCACGAAATGTTTATCTGAGTTCAACAATGAATGCCCTTGGCTCTGCTCTTTCAGAAGCATGGGCACCACAGAATTCATGTTACACCACCAACCTAAACTGACTCATAACATTTGTCTGTGGCATTTCCTAATAAAGGCCAAAAATGAGAGAGAATTATTCTTTTCCTTTTCTTTTTTTTCTTTTTGACATGGGTCACTTACTTTAATAACAATACATATACCATGTTATCACTATGGAATTAAATTCAGATGAGACAAGAGAATTTCACAAGTGTGATAGCCTTCTGTATATTATATAAAAGTTTGGGTATACTGTCTGGCCAAACCAGCTTGCTCGTAAGTCATTAATCAAATCCGTTATAGGTAATTTGTTCAGTTCAATGTTTACAATTCTTATGTAAAAAATAAGCAACACACACATTTAAAAAGTGTTCATTTACCTTTGCATGAGTGCTTAAAATACATATTTCTATTTCAAGATGACATTTAAAAATTATTCTAATATATCAGCAGCAAAAATATAATTTGCAATTACAAAAAACTAAACTAGAATCCTTAAGTTATTCTCATGTTTACAATTGTGATTCTTTAATAAATACTAATATTATGCAGCTCTATTGTTTAAGCTTTCTGGATTTGGTTTAAACACATGCACATATATTGTCAATTGTGGGAAGCTTTACAAATTATATTCCATGCACTTTTTGGACAGAGTTCTAACAGAGTCAGCCAGTCCACAAAACACGCAGACAAAAGTTGAATTAACTGGGGCAAATAGGACTCTTATACAACATCCAAAATATGTGAGATTCTGCAGCAAACTGGGAGTACCTTCAGGATTGGCCTGTTATCTTCTTTAGAACTAAGTTCATCTTAAAAATTTAAGAAGGTGGACATTTCAACACCATCAAGTGCATTTAGGTGACATGTTTAAGTTAACTTGACTTCCTTGAATGACGGAGTTAGTAAACTAGTCACTAGTAATTCAGTCACCAGGCAAATCAAGCCTGCAAGAAAGGAAGCCAGTATTCAAAATGCCATGTTACCATCTAAACCCATACAAATTAGTTTATTTCCAACAATAATAGGTAACTTCAATAATGAGACGTCTAACTAAAGCAAGCTCCTCCAACAAGGCAGCATCTCTTCTTCTAAGGCTTAGGTTTTGCCCAGAATTCCCGATACATGGAATAGCCCATACCAACAGTCATTGCTCCTACAACAAAGCCTTGGGCTACCACACGCATGTGGATCAGATGAATGGACATTTTAGTATTTCCCCTGCTCTTCAGTTTGTGTAATCCATATGCAACAACTGCTGCAAAACCTGCTATTCCAATGGGTACGAATGGTGCCTCTTTAGCTTTTCGAATAAGTTTGGATCCCTGATATTCCTCATATGAAGGAAGAGAAACACCTGTGTCTGCTGACATAGTGATTGCTTGAAGAATCTCCCTAGAGCGAAAAAACCTCTCACCCGCCAACCGGCTTCTGATCTTTTCCTTTTCTTCAGAAGCTTATTTCTCATTTATGTGTCTTCCTTGTGAACTTAATTTTCATACCCCAAATTTTCAAATCCACATTTGCAATGTATTAGGAATATTTTAGTTAAATGGAGTTTAAATAACTTTTTTGAAAACTCCAAATTTGTAATTTTATAAATTTCATTTTCAGTTAATCCAGTATGATTCCTCTGCCATTGTTTTCCTTCTAACTATACCTGCTGTGTCCCTGTTTACTTTACACTGTGAGACTTGGCAAGTCTGATACAGTTTTCATAAGCTGAGGTTACAGGGAAACCTGGGCTCACTGACCTCCCATCTCCAGGGAGGCTTCTGCCCTAGGAGTTCAATCCCAACACACAGCCCTTCCAGCAGCAAGAGGGGTTTTCTAATGAGTGGGCAGGAGTGCGGAGGTTGTGCTTTATCCCACTTAGACCTAAGGCTTATGGTCCATGTGGTGGTTTGAGGGATGGGAAGGTCATATGGAGTAATGGGATGGCCTGTAAACATCTATTTCCACTTGTTTGTTCATAAATGCAACCCAAAGAACAGCAAGTGAAAGACCTTCCAGGGTGTTAGGAACTCACTGGACATGAAAGTTGTATAATATCTTAACAGGGATTTCCTCTTCCATATTTTCCAATTTCTGTCACCCTTCTCTCTTTGAAGTTAAATACTGCCCTGATGTTAAAAGAGAATTCAGAATGGAAGCAAGTTTGTAAGTGTTGAAATGAGTGATTCATTTTAATTTCTTTTTTCTTGTTTGTATTTGAAAATCCCGCATAATGTTCAAATATACAATTAAAATTTTAAAAAATTATTTTTGTTTGAGGGGTCCTCAGAGAAATGGCTGATAAAAGTGATGGGACATGATAGGTACAAGGTCAACCTGGATCATCTTTCTATATCAAAAAGTAAAAGTACTTACAAAAAAAGGGGGAGAGGGAGCAAGTCACAAAGACACAGGAGTCACTGGTGTTCAAACTGTACCAGATAATGGTTAGCTGGAGCTGCTTCAAGCTGGAGGACTTTTTTTAACAGAAATTTCTTATCTAAATTCCCTCCCTGTTGATGGCTCTTGCCTGATCTAGAATTTGGCTGCAAAGTGATGATTTTCCACCTCCAGAAACTCTCCCACATTTACCAGTAGATGCTCAGCACCTCACTGTAAGTAAGAGCCTTCTATTATTTGTTGATCTATTTCTTTTATCACCAATTTATTAAGGCATAGACTTATGAATTTCTTCCTCCTACCCTTAACAGTCTATAATTATAGCTTACTGGGAGAAGAAGCCTCAGGAGCCAATACTAGCCAGAATTCTTAAACTGTAATTGGTGAATTGCTGGACACTCAGTGTAAACTAGCATTGAAGGAAAAACTCCCACACTTTCATGAGTTTTATCTCCTGGAACCTTACCAGGTTCTCACAGTGAAGATCAGAGATCAGAGAAAAATACTCTCCCTGCTTTGGGCAGGAGGGAAGGAAAAATAACCATTCTGAAATAGCCCTGAGCACATGTCCTCCATAATAGGAAACTACTTTACCAGAGCCTTATCTGGCTTGGAGAAAGGGCAATTAGTCAACTACAGACCCCTCTAGCCTTACTGCCTCACACAGGAGAATAAAAGAGGCTAAGAAACTCTTGTAAATATTACATTTTAGAGACACAGGCCCAATTAAAAATATATATATATTTAATAATAAGATTATAGAATGATTCCTCTCCTCAATATCTTACCACTACATTAACAGGGCTCCAGTTTTATACAAGGCACAGATTCTATTTGAGAAAGAATTTATAGGGAAACCCCAAAACATCAGGAGAAACAAAAATAAGGACACTAGAGGAAAGCCTCTGATACCTACAGCTACAGCAAACATTAAACATCTAACTCCTAGCCACATAAAACCTCACACTAAAGACCTATTCAGCTCAGTTTCTATTGCCTGATACATCATGTCTAGCTTTCAGCAAAAAATTTAAAGACAAGCTAAAAGGCAAAGAAAAAAACAACAACAACCACAGTTTGAAGAGACAAAACAAGCATCAGAACCAGGCTCTGATATGGCAGAGATTTTGGAAGTATCAGAGTAGGATAGTAAAGCAACTATGATTAAAGGCTCTAATGGAAAAAGTGCACAATATGCAAGAACAGATGAGTAATGTAAATGGAGAGATAGAAACTTAGAAAGAACCAAAAGGAATTGCTAGAAATAAAAACCACTGTAACAGAAATGAAGAATGCCTTTGATGGGCTCATCAGTAGACTACACACTGGGGAGGAAAGAATCAGTCAGCTTGGGGGTATGCCAACAGAAACTTTCTCAAACTGAAGGTCAAAGAGAAAAAAGAATGGAAAAAAAACCTAACAAAATATCTAAGAACTGTGGGACAATTGCACAAGTGTAACTTAGGCATAATGGGACTACTAGAAGAAGAAAAAAGAGAGAAGGGAAAAGCAGCACTATTTGAACTAATAATGGCTGAGAACTGTCCAAAAGAATATTGCTAATGGCCAAAATGGTAATTTGAGATGAAAAAAGCTCTCTTTAAGAAAAAGTTAAGACTTCCAGTTTCCTGTCTGACATAAAAAAACTCCAAAGTTGTCAGTCCATCCTAACAATTAATAAATGGCTGAATACAATGAAAATCAACAACTTTTCTTAGATGCATAAGAAAACTAAGGTTAGAGGGAAAATTGCTGTCGCCAAAATTGAAAAGATAGATAAATACAGACAATGACAACTTAGCGAAGCAGAGACTCATGAGCAGAAATCTGCAAAGAATCAGTACCAGGGTAGGAAAACCTGAACTGTAACTGACAAATTGCTGGAGGCTCAGCGTGGACAACTCTTGAAATGTAAGCATTCCAGGGAGTCCCATAGGTGGGCGCATTCCCACACTTTTGTGAGTTTCACTTCTAGGAGCTCTACTAGATACAGTGAAAACTGAAGAAAAATCTCCTCCTCCTTACGGCAGCAGGAAAGGAAAAGTAGTGATTTTGAAATATGCCAGAGAATTCTGTTCTTTTTCTTTTTCTTTTTTTTTTTTGGAGACAGAGTCTCCTCGCTCTGTTGCCCAGGCTGGAGTGCAATGACATGATCTTGGCTCACTGCAGCTTCCGCCTTCCGGGTTCAAGCGATTCTCCTGCCTCAGCCTCCCGAGTACCTGTGATTACAGGCACCTGCCCCCATGCCCAGCTAATTTTTGTATTTTTAGTAGAGACAGGGTTTCACCATGTTGGCAGGCTGATCTCAAACTCCTGACCCAGTGATCCCCACTCCCTCAGCCTCTCAAAGTGCTGGGATTAAAGGCATGAACCACTGCGCCTGGCCAAATTCTGTTACTCTTAACAAGGACTGTCCACAAGGTAAATTATTTTCCCAGAGCCTAACCGATTGGGATTTCATTAGAGCTTAGTTAACCTAGGGGAAAAGAAAAACCCAACTTCAGCAACCTGTAACCATCCTATCCCACCTAAGGTGGTGGGGGGTGGGGGAAGGGCTGAGAAGCACTTGTGAAGTTCTAAGTCCAGGGGTACAGGCTCACTAAAAGACTGAGACCTAGTCCCCTTAATCATAGGACTACAGAACACTTCCCCTCCATACCTTACTTTATCACTATATTATAAAAGGCTTATTTACTGCAGTTCCCTTTATCCAGTATATCACATCCAGCTTTTAACATAAAATTACAAGACTTACTAAAAGGCAAAAAACACAGTTTGAACAGACAGAATAAGCATCAGAACGAGAGCCAGACATGGCAGGAACATTGGAATTATCGGACTAGCAACTTGAAATAACTACAAATAATATGCTAAGGAATCTACTAGAAAAAGTAGATAACATGCAAGAACAGATGGGTAATGTAAGAAGACAGATGGAAATTCTAAGAAAGAATCTAAATAAAATGCTAGAGATAAAGCATTGTAATGGAAAGGAAGAAGGCCTTTAATGGGCTTGTTAGTAGATGAAACATAGCTGAAGAAAGAATCTCTAAGCTTAAGGATATTTCATTAGAAACTTTCAAAACTGGTAAGCAAAGAGAAAAAAGACTGAAAAAAAAAAAACCAGAACAGAACATCTAAGAACTTTAGGACAGCCACAAAATGAATAACATGTATGTAATGAGAATACTAGAAGGAGAAGAAAGGAAAGAACAGAAGAATTATTTGATTAAGGACTGAGAACTCCCCCCAAACTAATGTCAGATAGCAAACCACAGATCCAGGAAGCTCAGAGAACACAAGCAGAACAAATGCCAAGAGAAAACTACACATACGTATATCATTTTCAAACTGCAGAAAATCAAAGATAAAGAAAATAATTCTTAAAGAAGCCAGGGAAGGGGGGAACCCTTAGCTATAGCAGAGAAAAAAAAAGAAATTAAACCTGACTTCTCTGAAATCATACAAGCAAGAAGTGGGATAAAATATTTAGCATTCCGAGAAAAAAACAAAGCAGCCTAAAATTTGGTACCCTGTGAAATTATTCTTCAAAAGTAAAGGAGAAACAAAGATATTTTCAAACAAAAATTGAGTGAATTTGTTGCTAGCAGGCCTGCCTTGCAAGAAATATTAAAAGAAGTTCTTCAGAGAAAAGCAAGATGATATAGGTTGGAAATTTAGCTCTACAGAAAGAAAGAGAATCAGAGAAGGAATAGTGGAGGTAAAATAAAAACCTTTATTTTTATTATTCTTAATTGATCTACTAGATAACAGTCGGTTCAAAAGAATAATGCTAACACTGGTTTTGACTATGTATGCTTAGTATACCTATGCTTATGAATCACTGAAATGAATGACAGCCGTGAGACAAGGGGCATGAGGGAGAAATCAGGATTATTTTGTTATTATAAGGTATTTGCACTAGCCGTGAAGCAATATAATGTTATTTGAAAGTGGACTTGCAATAGTTGTAAATGTATATTGCAAACTCTTAGGCAACCGCTAAAAAAAGAAGTATAAATAATATGCTGGAAAAGGAGAGAAAATGAAATATACAGAATGCTCAATTAAAAACCAAAAAAGGCAGAAAAAATGTGGAAGACAAAAACAGGAAAAAAAAAAACAGTGGCAACAAATAGAAAACAGTAGCAAATATGGTAGATATTATGTATATCAGTAATCAATTTGAATGTCAATGGCCTAAATGAACCAATCAAAAGATAGAGCTTGTCAGAGTGGGTCAAAAACCCAGATCCAACTATATATTGTCTATAAGAAACCCACTTTAAATATGAAGACATATATAGATGAAAAGCAAAGGGATGAAGAAAGATATACTATGCTAACACTAATAAAAAGAAAGCTGAAATAGCTATATTAATTTCAGACAAAACAGACATTAGAGCAAGGAAAGCTACCAGGAGTAAAGAGAGACATTACATAATAATAAAAGGCCAATTCTCCAAGAAGACAGAACAATGCTTAATGTGTATGCTCCTAACACAGCATCAAACTACATGAGGCAAAACAAAAACTAATAGAACTACAAGAAGAAATAGATGAATTCATGTTTACAGTTACAGACTTCAACATTCCTCTATTAGAAATGGACAGATCTGCCAAGCAGAAAATCACGGGGTATACAGTTGAACTCAATAGCACCACCAATCAACTGAGATAAACGTGACATCTATAGACTATCCAACAACAGCACAATACACATTCTCAAGTTCACAGGGAACATCTCATCAAGACAGATCACAATGAAGGCTATAAAACTCACATGAGTAAATGTAAAAAAAGAAAAATACAATGTATGCTTTCGGATCTCAGTGGAATTAAACTAAAAATCAATAACCCAAAGATAGCTGGAAAATCCCAAAATACTTAGATATTAAATAATGTACTTCTAACACATGGGTCAAAGAAGAAATCACAAGAAAAAAATTAAAATATTTTAAAATAAATGAAAATACAACTTATCAAAATTTATGGAAGGCAGTGAAAGCAATGCTCAGAGGGGAATCTATAGGATTGAATACATATAACAGGAAAGAATAAACATCTATAAGATCTGAACTTATACTTTAAGAAACTAGAGAAAGAGGAGCAAATGAAATGAAAAGCAAGCAGAAGAAAAGAGATAATAAATATAGTAGAATATTTATTATGTAGAGTATATAATATACTCTACATAATATATATTCTATTCTATATTATAAACATAGAGTAGAAACCAATGAAATTGAGAACAGGAAACCCACAGAGAAAAATCAATGATGTTAAAAGCTAGTTCTTTGGAAAAAATCAATTAAATTGATAAACTTCTAGCCAGGTTAATCAAGAAAAAAAGAGACAACAAGTTACTCATGGTAGAAATGAAATGAGAGGATTTAACTACAGATCCCATGGACATTAAAAGGAAAATAAAGAAATACTATGAACAACTCTATGCCCACAAATTCAATAACCTAGACAAAATAGATTAATTCTCTAAAAGGTACAATCTATCAAAACTCACACAAAAAGAAATACACAATCTACATAAGCCTATACCTATTAAGCAACTGAATCAATAATAAATTTCCAAAACAGAAAGCACCAGGTCCAGATGGATTTTCTTGGTGAATTCTACCAAACATCAAAGGAAGAAACTATATTAATTATCTACAATCTCTTTCAGAAGACAGAAGCAGAGGGAATACTTCCTAACTCATTCTATGAGGCCAGCATTACCTTAATACTAAAACCAGACAAAAACACTGTAAGAAAACAAAACCACAGACCAATATCTCTCGTGAATATAGACACAAAAATCCTCAGCAAAATAATAGCAAATAAAATACAACAATGTCTAAAAAGATTGCTACACCACAACTAAGTGGGATTTATCCAGGTATGCAAGGCTCAACACTTGAATATGAATTCATGTAATCCATCATATCAACAGACTAAGGAAGAAAAATCACATGATAATATCAATAGATGCAGAAAAAGATTTGACAAAATTGAACACCAATTCACAATGAAGACTCTCAGCAAACCAGGAACAGAGGGCAATTTCCTCAACTTGTGAAAGACAATGAGAAAGCAAGCCATAGCCTGGGAGAAAATATTTGCAAAAGACGTATCTGATACAAGACCGTTATCCCAAACATACAAAGAACTCAAAAGAAAATGAACAACCTGATCACAAAATGGGCAAAGATCTGAAAAGACACCTCAACAAAGAAGACATAGATGGCAAATAGGCGTATGAAGAGATGCTCATCATCATACATCATTAAGAAACTACAAATTAAAACAATGACTACACACCTACTACAATGGTGAAAATCACATCCAAATCACTAATACCACCAATTGCTGGCAAGGATATGGGGCAACAGGAATTCTCATTCACTGCTGGTAGGAACACAAAATGGTACAGCCACTTTGGAAGACAGCTTGACAGTTTTACACAAAACTAAACACTCTCACCATATGTGCCAGCAATCATGTTCCTGGGTATTTAACCAAATGATTTGAAAATCTACGTGCAAACAAAAGCCTGCGCATGTGTATTTATAGCAACTCCATTCATAATTGCCAAAACTTGGAAGTATCCCAGATGTCCTTCAGTAGGTGAATAAACTGTGGTACATACAGATAATGAACAATTATTCAGCACTAAAAGGAAATGAGCTAACAAGCTCTGAAACACATGAAAGAAACTTAAATGCATATTACTAAGTGAAATAAGCCAAGCTGGCCTTCCTCTTCACTTTCTTCTTTACTGCCTCGTCTCCTCCCTTATCACTCCCTTTTCTTCTCTTTGCTCTCTCTTCCTTTCCCCCTTCTTCTTTCCCCTCTTGCCTTTCTTTTTTTCCTCCCACTCTCCCCCTTTTTTCACTCCTCTCTCTCACTGTTTAGTATTTTCCCTGTTGTACCCCCTTTCTTAAATATCCTATTTTCTCTTCCCTTGCTCTCTCATGTCCCTGGCCCTACTACCATGCGCCCCCACCCCTGCCAAAAAGAAAGAAAGAAGCGAATCTGAAAAGGCTATACAATCAGCCCTTCTTATTTGTGGGTTCTGCATCTGTGAACTCAACCAACCATGGATTGAAAATATTTGGGAAAAAAATCTAATAAAAATTAACAATACAACAACAACAAAATGAATGAAAAAACAATATAGTATAACAACCATTTACACAGCATTTACACTGTCTTAGGTATTGTAAGTAATCTAGAGATTTAAAGTATATGAAGGGAGTATGGAGGTTAAATGCAAATATAACAAACATTTTGTATCAGGGCCTTGAGCATCCTTGAATTTTGGTAGAGTTTGGTAGAGTTTGCCTGGCCCTATTCTGTATAATTCTTAATGTCATAGACAGGTTCTTGAAAACTGCAACTTTAAATGAAACAACTATAAGGAAACCAATTTTACCATAGGCTAATTGATATAAGCAAGAGTTAGGTTCTTACAGCATATTTCTGGTCATAAAAACATCATTAAACATCTAAATAAAGACCCAAGACACTTTTAATGTTAAATATTAAAATAAATGTAAGCTACATATACATTTAAGAAAGATTAATAAAAACAAGATGATTATTTACATTATGTACATTAATGATGAATACATGTAGTTCTACATTTGTCACAATCTATAGAATATACAACACCAAGAGTAAACCCTAATGTAAACTATGGACTTTGGGTGACAATGATGTGTCAGTGTGTTCACCAATTTTAATAAATATACCAGTCTGGTGTGGGATATTGACAATAAGGGGCGTGGGGTGCAGAGAGCATATGGGAACTCTCTCTACATTCTGCTCGATTTTGCTTTGAACCTAAAACTGCTTTAAATAATACAATTTTTTTTTTTTACAAGAGTTAAGAGCTATACAATCATGTATACTTGAATTCTTGATTTTCAGGCCTACCTCTCTCTTAACCCAATAATGTCGGTTAAGCATTCAAGATCCTAAAGTAAAATCCTGAAAGTCTAAAAAGAGTATACGGGACTAAAAGTCCTGCTAGGCAACTGTAGGTGATCACTTATACCCCTGCTGGAAAAGCTTAAACACTGGTTTTCCAAAGACTTCTTGGTCATCTGATAAATTTAAGATTCTTAACATAAACTTTGCTCCCTCTGGAAACCTCACAGCTAAAGGTAAAAGTGAAGATACCAGCCTGGACAACATAGGGAGACCCAATCCCTAAAAAAATGTTAAAAAATTAGCCAGGCATGGTGGTGCATGCAGGTAGTCCCAGCTACTCTGGAGGCTGAGGTGGGAGGATTGTTTGAGCCCAGGAGTTTGAGATTACAGTGAGCTATGACGACGTCACTGTACTCCAGCCTGGGAAACAGAGCAAGTGAGAATTCATCTAAAAAAAAAAAAAAAAAGTAATAGTTGGATAGCTGTGTTTCTTACCTCTCTTTGGACACTGCACATCATATGCTATTTTATTAATGACAAGTTTAAAATCATTCATTAGCAAAATATCCATCAAGGTAGAAGCTGAAATCATGTTGCCATCTGAAAGAAAAACATCATGCATGAGCATGTCTTTGTTTTAGAACAGTAAGAACCATTTTCCAACACATAGAAAATTACTAACCCAGGTCTTTACAATATAATAGTGGACAATTTACTTTTGTGGGGGGTGTCCCCAAACCCAAACACTATTCCCATTGAGGGGAATCCTCCTCTATTGCTCTACCTCCCATTTCCTTGGACGAAATGGAACAGGCAGGCACTCCCTCTCCCACCCTGTCAGCTGTGCTGGAATCCAGGTAGTGCCCTTGGTGAAACTGCATCTGTGGAGAGTCATGCAAAGGTTCAGGGGAGGTGGAAACCCTTCACAGCAAGGCCAGAGCAGTGGCAGGTGACAGTTTTGGGGGTAGGGTGGAGTGTAGGCAGCAGAGCTCATCAGGTGGTTACTGGGTTAACCTGGTCTCAGCTCCTGTCTTCTCTTAGTTCCTGCCCTCTTCTGGGCCTGTCTTCTGCCACTTCCAGCATGAGAGCCTGTTGACATACTCCTCTGCTTAGCCAGAGTCCATTCTGCTGCTTATGGCCAAGCTTCTGACTGGCACATGTAGGCATAAGGGTATAACTATTTAAAAACCCTGCCTTTCTCTTATTTTTAATTATTAGAGGTAACTGATTTGTGGTGGTTAAAAATTTAGTAGCTAAATAGCACCACAAGCTATCACCACATGGGCTCATCTTCCTTTCAAGCTTGAAAAAAATGAAGAGGCAAACTGTCAAGGAGGTGAGGACAATAATGAACGTGATGCCTAAGAAATAAATTTGCATTGTATGGTTTATTTTGTGGAAGGGGAGAGAGGCAGGAGAGATTCTAACAGTAATTTCAAATATCCTAGGAGTATTTCAGGAAAAAAAAAGTCTTGAAAAATTTTAACCACAATGTGCTTTGCACAGCCTCTCATAGAGCCTAGGTTTTGTTATATTTTTGAACCAAACTTTAATGTAATCCAGGTGTTAAGAAAGCAAATTCACTGAACAATAAGCAAAAAATTGGTGCTGGGTAGAGGTTTCTTTTTCTATCATTTTCCCTTCAGAATAGTTCACATATAATTACATGAAATTAAGTCCAGGAAAATGCTGGATGTGTATTTTCAAATCCCGGCCTGACATTCATTTGGTTACATTCAACCCGAGCTATTTTAGCTATATTAATATGTGTGATGACAGGACTAACACTAGTAACATCCCGAAGAAACTGGCTGCTGCCTCTTGTCTGCCTCCCTATAGTTCTTTTGTTCTGGAAGACTGCAAATCAAGTCTGCACCTGTGTCTGTTCCTAGAATTTGGCTGTTTGGGTTGCTGTTCATCAGTTGCAGTGAGATCATTTTCCAAAAAATTGCCAAATAATTCAACCCACACAATGGGCAAAACTGTGACAAGCTTAGAACACTCTTTTCAAGCCCAAATTAAATGCAGGCAAATTCCACCCACAGAGTCTTTTAAAAAGAAGAAAAAAAAAATCAGCAACACACCAATCGCTTTATCTTTCCAAGTGTCATTTAAAAATTTACATGTAAATGACTTCAAACCAGCTCCTTAAAATCTTACTAAAAAAGACATACACTGAATATGATTTCTCAGTTGAAATACTATATTATCCTTTATACAAAGGTATGAATAGCAAAAGACTGACGTGAAACATTTTTAAGCACTAGTGATACAGTGTTAAATTTTTCATGTATTCTTGGGTATCAATTTAAACCCCCGATAGGGTGTTTGCACTCAGTCCAAAGAGTCCCTTTTCTCTAAGACTTCTATTCTCTTTCTTTGTGCTTTCTGTTTCAAAGCTACTAACTTTATTTTTAGAAATAAGCAGGATAAACATCTATCATTTTAACCTCTCTTATTTCATTCACTTCAATACTAATTGAGTACACACCACCAGGCAAGTGCTGCTCAGTGCAGGCCCTTCTGACTTCCAGGTTTGGGTCTGCCTGCCCCTAGAAGCTTAGAAAGAGGGCCCTGCCCCTGTGGAAAACGCCCATGGACATTCCAGTGTTCCTGTGCCTGGGGGAAATGTCTGTCTAGTTCAAGGATGAAATATTAGGAAGCCCATTGTGCCATAGGGCTAAAACCTTATTCTCTGATCCAGGTTTTAGCAGGAAGAAACGTCCCTTCCAGCTAAATCTATAGTCCTAACAACAACCTACAATAAGCCTTTCCTGATCTGCCCTTCCCCACCTCTCAGAACTCCTCCTTTCTCCCAGCTCCCTCCTTTGCGGTCACTGTGTAGTAGGCTCCCACCTCAATGCAGTCTCACTCTATCACTCAGGCTGGAGTGCAGTGGTGCCATCTCGGACCACAGCAACCTCCGCCTCCCATGTTCAAGCGATTCTCCTGCTTCAGCCTCCTGAGTAGCTGGGATTACAGGTATGCAACACTACACCTGGCTAATTTTTGTATTATTAGTAGAGAAGGGGTTTTGCTATGTTGGCCAGGCTGGTTTCAAACCCCTGACCTCAGGTGATCCACCCACCTCGGCCTCCCAAAGTGCTGGGATTACAGGTGTGAGCCACCGCATGCGGCCCAGAGCTCTCTTCCCTCTACGTGACTCCCTCCCTCATTTCCCCCAGGTCTTTGTGCAAATGTAATCTTATCAAGCCCACCCCTGCCCACACACATCTTCCACACTCTGCTTTATTTTTCTTCGTAACACTTATTATTTAACATAATACATAATTTATCTTGTTTTTTTCTCCTCCTAAATATAAGCTCCATAAGGGCAGGAGTTTTTATCCCTTTTGTTCTCTGCACTACCTCTAGCGTATAGAACAGTGCCTGACATACATTAGGTGCTCAATAAATATTTGTTGAATGAATCAATTAATCTCCATTTTCCAACTTCTCTATCTTTTAATTAATTTGGAACTTGGATAGGGAAAAAGTCTGTTTATTTCCCTTTCAAAACTGCAACAGTAATCATGAACCTAAATAACTTTATTCTAAGTATTTAATATCATAATGAAATAATGCAAATTTATTAATTTATCTATATTTGCAGCTGCTATGTAGTGGGATAGGGTAAATAATTCTTTATTCTATTTAGAAGCAGTTGGTCTAAGACCATTTCAGACTATGAGAACATGAAAGCTGTATTCTAAATTTTAAATGTCTAAGTGATGACATACTTCTGGTTTTTTAAAAAATGTATATTCTTCCTAAGAACTAATTCTGCCAAAAAACATACTAGACTGTAATTGCTTTATAACAGTGGTGAACAAATTTTTTGTGTACTTTAATTATTCACTGGCTTATTTTAATAATTAAAACTGCATTTTGTTTTCTAATTATTCAAATTTTGCTGAGAATTGCACGCTAATGCCTGTGCCACTAAGATTTTCTCATGAAAAACCTTTAAGGCTAAGTTTATAAAATAAGTAACTGAAATTTACATTAAATTTATTCCATTAATTTTTCATTCAATGAAGTTAAATTTTTTTTTTTTTTAATTTTCTTTTCTTGGGATGGAGTTTCACTCCTGTTGCCCAGACTGGAGTGCAATGGCGTGATCTCGGCTCACTGCAACCTCTGCCTCCTGGGTTCAAGCAATTCTCCTGCCTCAGCCTCCCAAGTAGCTGGGATTACAGGTATGTACCACCACGGGTGGCTAATTTTGTGTTTTTAGTAGAGACGGGGTTTCTCCATGTTGGTCGGGCTGGTCTCGAACTCCTGACCTCAGGTGATCCGCCTGACTCGGCCTCCCAAAAGTGCTGGGATTACAGGTGTGAGCCACCACGCCAGGCCAAAACAGTTTTTAAAATAGTGTTGATGCATAAAAATGAAAGAATAAAGACCAACCATTTATTATCTAATGAATTAAACAATGTACTTCTAGAAAAGTAAAGAACCAAACAAAAGTTCAGGAGAGACAGAAACCCTGGGACAAAGTTGTAAAATTATATACATATATACCTGCTGTGAAGATGGCTGCAGTTTTGATACCCTTATCTTCATTTTGTAGGTCCTGAAGGAATGAACCAACTGTTGACAACATTGGTTTGACTACGAATTGACAACGTTCTTTTCTAGATGGCAAGGTAAGTGTTACCAAGGGAAGGCCATGTCTATAAATAACTGTTATTTCTGTTAAGGAAAAAAAGAAAAAAAAATGAGTAAATTTTACTTTAAAAAAAACCATAAATACAAGAATTCTAGAAGGAATGCTCAAACATGAAATTCACAAACCTCTGAAGTCTTATAAAAATTTGTATTGCTCCAATAATGCCTTCATTATACTACAGTTTACATATTCCCTACCATTCTATAACATTTTAGTGTAGCACATACCACACTTTATTATCTGCTTAAAGTCTTCCCAGGTGGCCGGCATGGTGGCTCATGCCTGTAATCCCAGCACTTTGGGAGGCTCAGATTGGTGGACTGCCTGAGCGCAGAAGTTTGAGAGCTCTCTGGGCAACATGGCGAAACCCCATCTCTACAAAATATACGAAAATTAAGTCTGGCATGGTGGTGTGCGCCTGTAGTTGCAGCTACTTAAGAGGCTGAGCTGGGACGATGGCTTCAGCCTGGGAAGCAGAAGTTGCAGTGAGCCGAGATCGTGCCACTGCACTCCAGCCTGAGTGACACAGCTAGACCCTGATTAAATGAAAAAGAAAAAAAGTCTTCTCAGGTAAACACTTAAGTTCTAGTTTTCTTGAGGACAGAAACTATTTGTTTTTTTTTCTTTCTTTTTGAGACAGGGTCTCACTCTGTTGCCCAAACTGGAGTGGCACGATCATGGCTCACTGCAGCCTCTACCTCCTGGGCTCAAGCAATCTTCCCACCTCAATCTCTTGGGTAGCTGGGACTACAGGCATGTGCCATCACACCTGGCTAATTTTTGTATTTTTTGTAGAGATGGGGTTTTGCTTTGTTGGCCAGGTTGGTCCCAAACTCCTGAGCTGAAGTGATCCGCCTGCCGTGGCTTCCCAAAGTGCTGGGATTACAGGCCACCACACCCACCCGACTATTGCTTATCATCTCTGACTCCTCTGATTCTGAGGTGGGAATTTGACAAAAGACAGCAGCTATATTATGGGAGCACAAAAAGGTGGAAGTGAACCCAATCAGGGTGGGGTGGGATGGGGATAGTGTAAGAAAAGTCTATTCTGCTCAAAACTCTCGCAGCTCTTTATTTGGAAGAAAGGGAAACAATTAACATATGAATCAAATAAATGGTAAGAAAGCTTACCATCAGGTGGCACCACGGTACTATAATGGTGTGACTGGTAGTATTTCACATTTCCACACAGCTTCACACGCAAAACCTACAAGAAGGAAAAATTAATTTGTTTTTTTAAAAAAAGAGTGGGAAAGATGAAATAAGTGTCTTTATTTTACCATAAGATTCTTTTTAATACTATATGAAAAGCATAATGAAAAACTCAACTTGTCATGCATCCCAGGGTGAGCCCTTGGCAAGCTCACTGAACCTTCCTGGCTATATGCTTGCCTGCTACTATGTATGCTGTAGCAGTAGCACACCAGGACGGGATCCCTAAATTGGGGTATGAGGCCCCCTGAAAATCCTAGAGTTCTGTGAGAATTTTTACTTTCAGTATTTCCTTTCAGGTAATAATCTAAAACAAATGGACATAAGTATATCTAGTCTAGAGACATGCTTCTCAATATGTGGTCCCCAGACCAGGAGCATCTTGGGGCTAATTAAAAATGCAGAATCGGGCCGGGCATGGTGGCTCACGCATGTAATTCCAGGACTTTGGGAGGCCAAGGTGGGCGAATCACCTGAGGTCAGGAGTTCGCGACCAGCCTGACCAACATGGAGAAACCCTGTCTCCACTAAAAATACAAAATTAGCCAGGTATGGTGGCACATGCCTGTAATCCCAGCTACTCGCGAGGCTGAGGCAGGAGAATCACTTGAACCCGGGAGGTGGAGTTTGCCGTGAGCCAAGATCCCATCATTGCACTCCAGCCTGGGTAACAAGAGCAAAACTCTGTCTTAAAAAAAAAAAAATGCAGAATCACAGATTCAGACCAGATGTACTGAATTCCAGTCTGCATTTTAACAAGATCCTCAGAAGATTCACATGCACATTAGAGTCTGAAAAACACTGCTCTAGATCTGTGCTGTCCGATATGGTAGACACTTGTTAAATGTGGTTATTTAAATTAGTTAAAATTATGTACGGGTGGGACACGATGGCTCACGCCTGTAATCCTAGCACTATGGGAGGCCGAAGCAGGAGGATTGCTTGAGCTCAGGAGTTCAAGGCCAGCCTGGCCGACACAGTGAGACCCTGTCTCCTATAAACAGCAACCACAAAAAAATTATGTACACAAACATTCAGAACCTCAGTCACCTTTGCCACATTTCAAGGGCTCAAAAGCTCCCTATGCCTAATGGCTATCTCACTGAAAAGCAAAAGCGCAGGAATAGCATATTTCTATCATCACAGAAAGTTCTATTGGACAGCAGTGCTGAGTCTACAACATCTGAATGGCCACCTCACCACGGAACATGTTTTGGGGGCTTGCATTGGTGTTTGTGTTTACACAATTGCACTGGTGCTTAATGAAGACCGAATAATATCATGGTGCACTGTGTGAACAAAGATATTGTGGGAGTAGAAAGAACAGGCATTGGGGAATTGGTTCACAGGCATTTGGAACTCAAAAGGACTTGTACCAGAGAAATTAGTACCAAAGTCACAACACGGTGGCTGTAACATACTGATCCAGATTTTTTAATGCATCACCTTACAGTAGTTTATTAACAATAAGTTTGCCAGTAATTGTGCAAAGAATAATTCTTTTATAAACTGCATTTTTAAATTTTTCAGGATTTGAGGGTACACTATTAAAATAATAAATCAGTGGTTAAAAGTGTGTTCGCTGTTTCAAAAAATAAAGATGACACTGACCCAAATGAAGGTCCATTATGTTCAAAATTAAAAGAACCTCATCAATAAGTAAAACAAAACATTCAAATACATATTTTAGTATTAAACACAACATAGGCAATAAATGTCAACACAACATCATCTTTTACATTAAGACTGTTCATTTGAGCTTTCTATTTTTTTTTTTTTTTTTTTTTGAGATGGAATATTGCTCTGTTGCCCAGGCTGGAGTGCAGTGATGCAGTTTCAACTCACTGCAACCTCCACCTCCTGGGTTCAAGTGATTCTCCTGCTTCAGCCTCCCAAGTAGCTGGGGTTATAGGCACCTGCCACCATGCCTGGCTAATTTTTTGTATTTTTAGTAGAGATGGGGTTTCACCAAGTTGGCCAGGCTGGTCTCAAACTCCTGAACTTGTGATCAGCCTGCCTCGGCCTCCCGAAGCGCTGGGATTACAGGCGTGACCCACCACACCCGGCCTGAGCATTATTTCTAAAAATGTAGCTCACTACTAAGATGAGAAGAAAAAGGCAGATGATGTCTTAAAATAGATGCAACTCTCAATAAATAAATATAGGTAGAAGTTCTCCAAGTGTGGATAATGGATATTACAATACCGTCTACTACTTTTAGCAAAACTACATAAAAATGAGACACATCAGAATTCTCTATCAAAATTCTTCTATAAAAATAATGAGACAGATAATTTTCTGTGCATAAAAGTCAAATACACGAAGGTAGGGAGTAGGCCAGGCGTGATGGCTCCTGCCTATAATCCCAGCACTTTGGGAGGCTGAGGCAGACGGATTGCTTGAGCCCAGAAGTTTGAGCCCAGGTAACATGGTGAAACCCTGTCTCTACAAAAATTACAGAAAAAGTCTGGCATGGTGGCACATGCCTGTAGTCCTGGCTACTTGGGAGGCTGAGGCAGGAGGATTGCTTGAGCCCAGGAGGAGGCGGCTGCAGTGAACCGAGATTGTAGCTACTGCACTTCAGCCTGGGCCACAGAGGGAAACCCTGTCTCCAAAAAAAAAAAAAAAAAAAAAAAAAAAAAAAAAAAAAAGTAGAGAGTAAAAGTTAGAGCCCCTCCCTTTACTTCTCTATAATCCTGGAAGTCTCCCCAGAGGTAACCACTGCCAGTGGTTTGGCATGTATCCTTCCAGATTTTTTTCTACACGTTACCTACCAAATTCTATGCTAGAGTCCGTATAATGCTAAAGACATATGAGTCAGGTTCCTAAATGCCATTGGTGATAATGCCTGTGAGAATCCAGGAATCCAGTTGGAGGCAATATAAAATGATTACAAAGTATCATTTAATATACTGATAAAGTTGCAGGTGTACTACTGAAGAAGTAACTGTAGCACCCACAAGATAGAGGCACCCACATGACAACCAGAAGATGCTGAAAGAAGGCAGAGTGGCCTGAGAAAAACAGCAGGGCTTTCTCAAGCTTTTGCTTGCCTAATAATCACCTGGAAGCCTTAAAAACACAGATTCCCAGACCCCATACACAGAGATTTTTAATCTAAAAGGTCAGTTTGTGAGGATTTGCATTTTTAATAAGCTCCAGAGGTAAACTGAAGTTTCAAGGGTGAGAACCACACTGTGAGAAGCTGGGCTTTAGCCAACCTCCCCACAACCCCCACCACCACACACACACACCCCCTGCTGCCCCAGGCTTCGTGGCAACATGCTAGATTTCTGCGTAGAATCATTCCGAATTCCAAATTTTAGTGCCTGGTCAAGCGTTACTGCCTTTAAATGGAATTTGCTATCAGGGCAAAAGATGATTTGGGCTTCTCTTTAACCATGAAGCATTTTTTGTTCCTGACCACAGAGCTCCTGAATCCCTTGGAATTTCACGAGCGATTGAAGTTTCTGTGGTTTTAACAAGGTAACTCTTGGTGGGATGCTAGATGGCTTCAGGATGGGGCTGGTTGCTAGAAAGATCAAACCTTGATTAAAAGCCTAGAATGTTCAGTCCCATCTTCCCAGCCTCCAGGAAGGGGACAGAGGCTGGAGACTGAGTTAATAAAATCCATTATGCCCACATGATGAAACCTCCATGAAAGTCCCTAAACAATGAGGTTCAGCGAATTTTCAGGTTGGTGAATGCAACCACGTGTTGGGAGGGTGACATAATCCAACTTCATGAGACAGAAGCTTCTGGGCTTGGGACCTCCCAACAGTGAAAACTATGTTCACACAAACTGTACCTTGCTTTATGTATCTCTTAATCCAACAGTTTAGCTGTATCCTTTAGAATATCCTTATAATAAACCAGTAAACATAAGTAAAGTGTTTCCTTGAGTTTTGTGAGCAATTTTAGTAAATAGCTGAGGTTGAGGAGGGGGTCATGGGAACCCCTGATTTACAGCCTCCTGTGAGAAACATGAGAGGCCCAGGACTTATAATTGGCATCTTAAGTGGGACAGTCTTGTGGCACTAAGCTATTAACTTGTGGGATCTGATGTTAACTCCAGGTAGGTAGTGTCAGTATTGATTTAAATTGTAGGGCACCCAGATGGTGTTTGGAAAGTTGGAGAATTGGTTGTTGGTATGAGGAAAATATCCACACATGTGCTGCCAGAGTGTTCTGTGGGTAGAAAGAGATCATAGTAACCCATATGAGCATTATGATTTTACCTATTTCTGAAAATTATCTTTTAATAGTCCAAAACAAGAAGTAACTGAGAATTTGACATTCTATTGGCAGGAGACTAAAAGTGGCCCATGTGAAGATCAAGCTAAGCCTTCCAGTAGTTTCAGAACTTGATCTATGATTTTTTTTTCTTTTTCTCCTGAGACGGAGTCTTGCTCTGTCGCCCAGGCTGGAGTGCAATGGTGCGATCTCTGCTCATGGCAAACTCCATCTCCCAGGCTCAAGCAATTCTCCTGCCTCACCCTCTCGAGTAGCTGGGATTACAGGCGCCCACCACGACACCCAGCTAATTTTTGTATTTTTAGTAGAGATGGGGTTTCACCATATTGGCCAGGCTGGTTTTGAACTTCTGACCTCAAATGATCTGCCTGCCTCGGCCTCCCAAAGTGCTGGGATTACAGGCGTGAGCCACCACACCTGGCTGATATATGATCTTAAGTATCACTATAACATCCAGGACAGGGATCTTATGCTGGTAATTTAAGAGCTGGCTCAGGCCACAGGAATCCAGTTGGAAGCAATATAAAATTACTAGACAGAAAAGGGTAAGTGCAGAAAGAAGGATAAATTCCTACTTAGAATCTGTAATCCAAAATTTGAATACATGAGGAATTAAATGCTAAGAAAAAAAAAACAACACATTTATTTTTAAGATTAATTTACTTTAGAGAAAATAAGAGTCTTCCAAAACTGATGTTAACATAAATTATATTTAGTGTCTTCACAAAGATAAAAGGGATAACTGGCTTCCAGAAAATGAACAAGAAATTATGATACTAAAGTTGGTAGAAATAAAACAAAAATGAGTGACTATGATTAACTAATTAGAATTCCTGGAAACAAAAAAGGTCTATGTACATGTAAAAAGCCCATCTTAGGCTGGGCGCAATGGCTCATGCCTGTAATCCCAGCACTTTGGAAGGCCAAGGCAGGTGGATCACCTGATGTCAGGAGTTCAAGACCAATCTGACCAACATGGTGAAACCCCATCTCTACAAAAAATACAAAATTAGCTGGATATAGGGTGCAGGCCTGTAGTCCCAGCTACTCAGGTGGCTGAGGCAGAAGACTCACTCGAACCCGGGAGGTGGAGTTTGCAGTAAGCCAAGATTACACCACTGCACTCCAGCCTGGGCAACAAGAGTGAAACTCCATCTCAAAAAAAACCCACCTTAATAGCCTAAATTCTAGTCTGAATAAAGTCAATAGAAAACGAATGAATTGGACAATAACTCTCCTAGGTGCAACACGGAAAGACATAGAAACTCTAGGAATACAAAAAGCAACTAATTCTCATATATTGCTGGCAAGAATGTAAATGGTAAAACTATTCTGGAAAACATTTGGCAGTTCTTTCTTTTTTTTTTTTTCTTAAGACGGGGTCTTGCTCTGTCCCCCAGGCTGGAGTGCAGTGGCATGAACTCGGCTCACTGCAACCTCCACTTCCCAGGTTCAAGTGATTCTCCTGCCTCAGCCTCCTGACTAGCTGGGATTACGGGTGCATGCCACCAAGCCTGGCTAATTTTTTGTGTATTTTTAGTAGAGACGGGGTTTCTACCAGGTTGGTCAGGCTGGTCTTGAACTCCTAACCTCGCGATCCGCCCGCCTCAGCCTCCCAAAGTGCTGGGATTACAGGCGTGAGCCACCACACCCAGCCTGACCGTTCTTTATAAAGTTAAATATACATTTATATGTGACCCAGTAATCCCACCCCTAGCTCTTTACCCTAGAGAAATGAAAGCTTATGTTCATACAATTTGTACAAATGCCATTTCATTTCCTCCCACTAGAGTGCATACTCCCCAGGAGCAGGCAGGGACTTGGTCTGGTTCACTGCTGTATCCCCAGCACCTAGAATGGCGCCTGAAACATAATAGGGGCTCAGTAAATACACGTTAAATAAATGCAGGAATGTTTTCAAGATGCTAAGGAAAATAATTACCAACCTAGAATATTATGCTCAGGAAAATTACTTCAGGCTTGCTGTGATTTGATTGTGTCCCCCAGAGTCCATGTGTTGGAAACCTAATGCCCAATGCAACGGTGCTGGGAGGTGGGATCTAATGGGAGGTGCTTAGGTCATGAGGGCTCCACCTTCATAAATGGATTGATGCCAATTATAAAAGGGCCTGAGGCTGCGGGTTTGATTGAGCTTTCTCTCTCCGCCTCTTGCCCTTTCACCTTCTGCCATGGGATAATGCAGCAAGAAGAACCTGACCAGATGCGACCTCTCAATCTTGGATTTTCCAGCCTCCAGAACTGTGAACTAAATACATTTCTGTTCATTATTAATTACCCAGTCTATGGTTCTGTTACAGCAGCACAAAAGAGATTACAGCAAGGCTGAAAGAAATGAGTTTTTCAGGTATAATCAAGATTATGGCTTATTTCCACAGATTTTTGCTAAAGAACTTCTTCAGGAAGAAGAGAACTAAACTCAAGTGGAAGCTGAATAGAACACTATTATGAGCTGAACTGTGCCCCACCCCCTGCAAATTCATATATTGAAGTCTTAACCCCTAGTACCTCAGAATGTGACTGTACTTTAAAGAGGTTAAGTTAAAATGAGGTCATTAGTATAGGCCCTAATCCGACATAACTGGTGTCTTTACAAGAAGTGGTGATTTGGACAGACATGTACACCCAGAAGAAAGACGGTGTGAGGACACAGGGAGAAGACAGCCATTTACAAAACAGCCATGTACAAGCCAAGAAGGCTTCAGAAGAAACCAACTGAGCCAACACCTTGAACTTTAACTTTTGGCCTACAGAAGGGTGGCGAGGAAGGTTTCTAAACAGTGGAGGCGCAATTAGTGTGGGTGTCATAGCCCAAATGGGATGAAGACGGCCTCCACATGGGAAATAGGCTCAGAAAAAAATGTTGGAGCCCAGTTGGGGTAAGAAAGCCATCTCTGCAGGGGAAGGAGTGGTAGTGGAGATGAAAGACTGTCACATGCAGAAGAAAAAAATATATCAAGAATAATGGAAGTCAGATTTATCCTGTGCAAGAATGGAACTACAATTATGGAAAGGGAGTAGAATAAACCCTGTAGTGTTAGACTGAAGTACTGGTGTGAATTCATGGTTTTTAATGTGTAATAATGTAAAGAAATATAATTAAATGAAATTAAATATAAAATTTTTAAAAGATGCAAATGTTTAATGTACGTGTGTATGTAAGTATAGAAATTTTAAATTTTACATATTTATGTTTTCATACTGACATATATATGTATATGTATATTCTCTTTCTGAGAGAGCCTATGAGCAGTGGCACTTCTAATAACATCTAGCATCTAGCTCTTGGCACCAGATACTATGCTTACCTAAGAGGAAGCAAGCCTCCTTGGAGAAATGGCTATTCTAGGGCTGGGCATGGATAAGGACAAAATGAACCTAGAGCATCTTGCTGTACTAGAAAGCAAGGAAGTGCTCAATGGATGATGGAAGACTTATCAAAAGAACCCAGAAGGCAGGTCAAAGGGTGTCCCTGTGGTAAAATCTGGAACAATTTTTAGCATTAAATAATGATAGTAACAAATTATAATCCACTGAAGGAGATAGGAAACCATGAGTGTATTCTGACATAATTAACTGAATAAATTTAAAGTTTAATAAGGAATGAGATATTTACACAGTTTTAAAATGCCTTCACACAAAAGCATTAATCCCAAAGGAAAAATAATAACTTCAAAGGGAAGAAGCCTGACAGATACCATCTTAATTGATCAAAATTAATATTATCAGTAATGGGGTGAGTTGAAATCATGCAATGAGAATACATGGGACACTTTTGAGATATTCCCGACAAAGATGCTATATAATCTGAAGCAAATCACAAGGAAATACCAGACAAACCCAAACAGAGGCATTCTACAAAATAATTGTAATCTTTAAAAGAGTCAAATCATGAATGTCAAAGAATGTTGTACTGATCCAGAGTGGAGGAGACATGACAACTAAATTAAACTGTGATTCTGAACTTCTGCCAATAAAGAACATTATTGGAAAAATTGGCAAGATTTTAATGAGGTCTAAAAATTAGATGGTGGTTATGTACTAACATTAATTTTCCTATTTTGATGGTTGTTTGTCATTAAGTTGGAGAATGTTCTTATGTTTCAGGGGAACTGGCATCAAGTTTGCAATGTATTCTCAAATAGTTCAGAAACAAAATAGTCTTCCCACTGTGGTTACAACTTTCTTTATGTTATGTTTGAGACTGTTTCAAAATCACACAATTCTGAGAGACTGGTAGGCCAGGGTAAAAAAAATTAATAATTCAAAAACAATAGGTTTACAACACCAAAATTACCATATACAAAGATAAGTGATTAATAACAAGGGGTCAAATATTAAACCTTTTTTGCATGCCAGTAGGAAACTATGGTTACTTGGGAAATTGAAAATAAAAAATTTTTTAAAGCAAAGACACTCCTGTACAAGTTTTTATTTAGAAACCCCAAGAATATTGACAATCCTCAGACATGTTAGTAAAGCTTAAAAGAGAAACTACCATACCCTGTAACAACCCTTTTTAGAGGGTTATTATTAAAATTCTGAAAATCTTACACAAACCCATCATGCATGCAGAGCTGAATTTCAAGAATGACTCACCAAAACTCAGGTCTTCCTTTTAGTTTACACCTCACCTCAAACCCATCTTGAGGAGCCTACCATTCCCCCCTTGATAGGGGGATATGATAGTTTTGAATAAACAAATGGTATGAACCAAATCTGTTGCTTTTCATTTAATCCAGTTAGCCGGGCTGCTCCTCCATACCACACCTGGGTTCAGATTCCCCAAATCAGGCCCCACTTCTCAAATCTAAGGATTCTCAGGATGAGTCCTTAGATTTAAGAAGTATAATGAGTCCTAGCTGGACGCAGTGGCTCATGCGTGTAATCCGAACACTTTGGGAGGCTGAGGCAGGAAGATTATTTGAGCCCAGGGGTTCAAGACTAGCCTGGGCAACAGGGTGAAACCATATTTCTATTTTAAAAAATCATAATAAATGAGTCCCAGGCAGGAAAAATGAAATTAACTCTGTCCCTGACACAATGTGATGAAACTACAGAACCCCAGAAACAAAAAATTCTTATAATGCCTGAAAAAAAAAGAGATTGCCTACAAAGGAAAGCAATTAAATTTACATAAGGTGAATTAATAGACGGCAGAGGCAAAGGAGTATCTTCAAAGTTCTGAGGGGAAATAACAATCAACCTTGAATTCTATAGTCAGATAACCTACCATTTTGAACAAAACTGAGACTGAGCGACTAAAACATGTTTACTGAAAGCATTTTGCAGGAAAAAGGAAATCAAACACATAAGAAAACAGGATGTAAGAAAACTTACACACCACAGGATGTAAAACTAAATGAAGAGAGAAAAAAAGTGTGTACTTCCAAACCAATAGAGATAAAGGAGTATAAAAAAACATTTAGCCAAATTATGAGAAGATAAGAAAGGAGAAAGAAAATGAGCAAAGGAAAATCAGGATGAACAGAATGCACAGAATAAGGTGGTAGATAGATATCCACATTTGTCTGATATCACAATAAATGTAAACAGATTAAACTCAACAGTTAAAAGGACAGAAGTTGTTGGATTTATAACAACACAGACTGAGGGTTTAACTACTCATAGGCTTTCATTGAAGGCACTACTCAGCTGTAGTGAACAAAATGTAACACGAACAAGGAATAAGAATGCATGAGAAATTCTGAACAAGCAAATTGGTAAAATATATGCATAAAATAAATAAAAACTCCATCATTTTAAATGTTGTTTTCCGTGTCACTTAATATAGCGTACTTTTGTACTCCACAGAAACAAGAAATTCTTGTGTGAGGCAAGAAAAATGGTGCTTTTGGGGTTAGGCTGCTTTGTACTCCTCAGTTACATAGTTGTTTTGCTTTGAAGCTTGTCTTTGGGTTCATTAGTTCTACATCCTGTGGTGCATCATGATCTTTTGTAGAATCTCACACTGAGCGTCAAGCTTTAATGATTTTTTTTTTTTTTTTTGCTTCTCTGTACCAAAAAAAAAAAAAAAAATCAAACTGCTATATAGGAGCTCTCTTTTGATGAACTCTTACTTGCCTCTAGATCTATGTATCTCCCTAACAAAAACTGCATTTTGTAGCACAGACTAGAAAGTTATCTTAATATTTCAGTCTCAGGTACTACATGAATCATCACTGTGAAAATAAATTTTTTCTTCTTCTGGTCTGGACAGCCCAAGACGAGTAGTTAATCCACAAAATGACTGAAACAGAACAGAAACAGAATACGTTTGGCATTTGGCTAATACAGTACAGAAACAGAATACATACATACAATATTTGGCTAGCAGCCAACAATAACTTCCACCTACTGTAATTTCTCACCAGCTCCCTCTCAGCTAGACTGTATTTACATCCCTTCTGAGAACCAGGCATTTAAGTCAGTCATCCCTTTGGAACTGATCTCAACAGGACCACTGAAATTATATTCCTGTATAAATGCATTTTCCTCCTTCTCTCTCTCTTTCCTTCCATTTCGACAGGACATTGGTTTTGAAAGCAGATAACGAAGGACTACAACCCAGAGAAAAGATGTTAGACAATCTTCCTGTCCTACTGTCGTCTGTTAGAAAAAATATTGAAATATTTGGGTATATTGCCTTAAAAATACATTATTTATAATTAATAAACTTTTTCAACATCATTATGTGAATGCAGTTTCTTAAGATCTGTTTGTAATGGAAATACCTAGTACTTTTTCCTCTAGTTCAGATCACTTATGCCTGGAAGCCTTGTTTTACATGGTTTTCAACAGTGTGAAGCTGGTTTTAACAGCTACTATTTCCATCTGCCCAGCACCTCTTCCTTACACTGTCCCAACAGGTGCGGACACACAATTATGTGGGCCAGGTGCAGTTCTACATCCCTTTTACCATAAGGTGGTGGTTCAGCGGCACATTTAAAAGGGTGGGGGCTCCTAACTATTAATACTAGACTGTGGTCGGTTATTATGGGTGTGACCTTAGATTACTTAATCTCCATGTGGTCCCTGCATTTCAGTATTCTAGCAATTAAAATATGGTAAATAAACTGCACATGGATGTTTATAATGGCTTTGTTTATAATTGCCGAAACTTGGAAGCAGCCAATATGTTCTTCTTAGTAGATGAATGAATAAATAAACAATGGTACGTCTAAATAATGGAATATTATTCAGCACTAAAACGAAATGAGCTATCAAGCCATGAAAAGACATGGAGGAACCTTAAATGCATATTACTAAGTGAAAGAAGCCAATCTGAAAAGAATCAGACTGTGTGATTCCGACTACATGACATTTTGCAGAAGGCAGAACTGTGGAGACAGTAAAAGGATCAGTGGCTGCCAGGGGTTATGGGAAAGACAGGGATGAACAGAGCACAGAGGATTTTTAGGGCAGTGAAACTCTCTTGTATGACACTATAATGTAGACACATCACTACATATTTGTCCAACTCCATAGAATATACAACACCAAGAGTGAACCCTAATGTAAACTATGGACTTTGGGGGATAATGGTGTACCAATGAAGGTTTATAGGTTGTAATAAATGTACCACTTTGGTGCAAAATATTGATAACACCAGAGGCTGAGGAAGTGGAGGTAGACAGACAGTATATGGAAACTCTTAGAGCTTTCTGCGTGGTTTTGCTATGAAATTAAAACTGCTGTAAAAAATGGTCTATTAAAAAACAGTGGGGAGGGGTACTCGCTTCGCCCCACATGCTGTTATTTGCCAGCTCTTGTTCTATAGTTACTTCTATCAATGCTGAGTTATTTTTTTGATAGATACATAAATACATTTTAATGAAAAAATATGAGAAACAGTAGTGTTTGCTTCATAGTTGGTAAGAAGATTAAATAAGATACCACATGTAAAACACTTAGCTACACAGAGAGGGAGAGAAGAACATTCCAGACAGAACACCATGTGCTATGTCCCTGAGGTCTAAGAAACTTGTCATGTTCTAGGAATTGAGGGAGGACCAGTAGGACCACAGTAAGGTAAGTGAGAGGAGCGGGGAGTGAGATGAGACTGGTATGAGGAGCGCTGTCTAAGTTATGTAGCATCTCATTGTCCACAAGCTTTTATTTTGTTAAAGTGTAATAAGGATTTATTGAAAGGTTTTAAGTAGATGAATGGAGTGATTCTATTTACATTTTAAAATCACTTTTCCTGCTTTAAAAAGGGCAGCCTAGAGGAGGGCAAGGGTGGAAACCAGTTTAGAATCTGGTACAATAGATGGTGGTGACCCGGCCCAGAGCACTAACAATAAAAATGGAGAGAAGCAAATAAAAGTATGCAGGTAGAATTGATAGCTTAGTGGACTCAAGAACAACTCCTGGGTGTGACTTCAGCAAGTGCGGAGATGGTGAGTCAGTTACTGCACGGGGAAGAGGGGGCCAGAGGAAGCTGTTTCATGGGAAAATCAAGAGTTTTGTTCTAGATCAATTTAGTTTCCCATGTCTGTGATTATGTAAGGGTAGATGTTAGTCAAGTATTTGGATATTCTCCTTTGGACCTCAGGAAAGGTCTGAGCTAGAAAGCTGAGGGGCTGGAGACAGAAACCAGATGGTAGTATGCTGAAGAGTGAGTGGGAAGTGATGATGAGAAGACAGCCACTCTAGATGAACTGAAAAGTTTGGCTAAGGGGAGCACATGAATGGGGCAGTAGCTGGAAGGCTATGTGGTTACTGGAGGGTTTGCGACTTTCTTAAGCTGAGAGACATCAGAGTATATTTGTATGCTGATGTATGTACTTGCATAGCGTGAGAGGTAGTGAGAGAGTGACAACTAAGGGAGTAAAGGGAAAACATCTGTTTGTTTGAGAAAGCCTGAGGGACACAAGATGGAGAGCATCTGAGCAGGGGGACTGGCCTTTGAGGAGGAAGACCGCTGTACTGCAGGAGGGAAGGAAGAGATGGTAGGTAGAGATTGAGTCTACAGATTTTATGGTGGGAAGATGAGAGTGGTAAGAGCATGCACAGTGGGTACACTGAGCAGGGCTCTCTATGCAGTGAGTAGAGAAAGTATAAAAGCAAGGAAGCATGCAACAGCATGCCACGTTCAAGAAACTGTGATGGGTTCAGAATGTCTGAAATAGAGGGTTGGGAGGTGGGTGGTGCTGCGGATGATAAGGTGAGGCTGGAGAAGAGGATACAAATCAACTCATGGGAAGTTTTTTTTTTTTTTCTTTTTTAATGTTTCTCTTTGCAATAGAGGTCTTTAAATCTAGAAGTAATTTGACTTTACTTGATTTTAGAAGATTGGAATAGATTTAGATCTGGAATTGGTTGGTGGGGGAAGCCAGTTAAGAAACTGTTAAGGTAATCTAGGGGAAATAAGAATCTGAAGTAGGGCAGTGGCGATGGAGGGGAGAGGATAGGATGGATTTGAGAGGTCTGTATGAAGTACAACCAGTAGGCCTTAGTGACAGTTCAGTTGTAACTACTCGTACAACCTCTACCAGTTGATTTTAAGGAACACTAATTTAAGATAACTTTTAGCCTTCTAGTTCTAATGATTGGTAGTGGAGCCAGTTTATCAAGAAAAAGAATAAAGGAGAGAATCAGGTCTATAGAGGAATAAGAAAGAGCTCAGTTCAAAAAATGCTGAGTTTGAGGTACCTGGGGACTATCCCAGTGAAGACATCTGTTAGATATGTGTGGGAGTGAGTATAAAGGGGGAGGCTTGTTGCTCCAGGAATGCCGAAGTGTGTGTTATTGTTTGAGTCCAAACCTTCTAAAGATATGCTTGTTTAGGTTCAGACTACTACTAACCTGGGATTATGTTGAGAAAAGCAACATGAAAAAAAATTCCCCAAAGAAGTTTGATAATACATTATCAGGATCCTAAAGCTATTCATACATTATGATCTCATCATTCCAAAATTTACCCTATAGAAATAAAAATGCAAACAAAGATTTATGTGTAAAGGTGTTTGGAAGCAATTTAGGTGTAATGGTGAAAAACTGCATACAATGCGTAGAAAATAAACTGCAAAGTATACATCAATGTTAACTGTAATAATTTAGATGATAGCGTTATTGGTGATTTATTTTCTCCTTTTGGCATGCCTGTGATTTACACATTTTCTAAAATGAGAATGTGTTCCTTTCCAATGAGGAAAAATGAAGGTGGAAATAGTATATAAAATGGAAATGCCTAACAATAGGTAAATAGTAAATTCTGTTAGATCCATAGGACAAGATGTGATAGAGCTATTTAAATTACTTTGTTTATGCAAAGTTTTTAATGAGGTGGGTAAATGTTTAGAAAATGTTAGCAATCAGCCTTTAGTTGACTATGACAACGTGAGCTTATCTATCTATAGACAGATTGGCATAAAAAGTCAGGAGTTAGTGGGATTGTGGCTGCTTGTTTTTTGTCTTCTCTATTTTCCAAGTTTTTCAGAATGACTTATAATTTATTTCCGTCATATTTTTAGTTTTGTTTTATATAGTTTTTGCTCCTTTTATTACTTTCCTTGAAAAAATCTGTTCTATTTATTTTCTACCACTTTAGAAACTATACACATACTATACTAACATACACACATATTTAACTATAACTTTTCTAACAAAGCCTCAATTTTTTTATCTTTGCCCCTCTACTGAACATGACAAAGACCTTCACATTTTCTAAGAATCCACTGAATATAATGTACCTAATTTTTTTTTAATCGGGCAGCCTCCGAACCAGAATAGGTTCAGCGAGGCTCCCCCAAATCTTGTTTAACATTTTTTTACTCGTTTTAACACAAATTTGTTTAAAATGTCTTAGAGCAAATAGTTTATTTTCCAACATGTTTTACAGCTTTAGTGTTTGTATTTGTTTCCTAGGGCTGCCGTAGCAATGTACTACAGACTGGATGGCTTAAAAACAAGCATCAGTTATTTATAAAATCAGGTGCAGTGGCTCATGCCTGTAATCCCAGCACTTTGGGAGGCTGAGGTGGGCGGATCACCTGAGGTCAGGAGTTCTACACCACCCTGGCCAACGTGGTGAAATCCCATCTCTACTAAAAATACAAAATTAGCTGGGCATGGTGATGCATGCCTGTAATCCCACCTACTCAGGAGGCTGAGGCAGGAGAATCACTTGAATGTGGGAGGCGGAGGTTGCAGTGAGCCAAGATTGCGCCATTGCACTCCAGCCTGGGAGACGAGAGTGGAACTCTGTCTCAAAAATATAAATAAATAAAAATAAAAAAGTAAAATAAGGCCAGGCATGGTGGCTTATCCCTGTAATCCCAGCACTTTGGGAGGCTGAGGCAGGTGGATCACTTGAGGTCAGGAGTTGGAGACCAGCCTGGCCAACATACTGAAACCCCGTCCTTGCTAAAAATACAAAAATTAGCTGGGTGTGGTAGTGCACACCTGTAATCCCAGCTACTCAGGAGGCTGAGGCAGGAGAATTGCTTGAATCCGGAGGCAGAAGTTGCCGTGAGCCAAGATTGCGCCATTGTACTCCAGCCTGGGCGACAGGGAAACTCCATCTCAAAAATAAAAGAAAATAAGTCTCACCTACTCAGTCAAGTTTGAATAATATTTTTTCTCTTGGATGTTTAAAAAAATGGTAAGTTGTTTCCCGTATTAAAATCTAGCTGAGAGTGGCCGGGTGCGGTGGCTCACGTCTGTAATCCCAGCACTTTGGGAGGCCAAGGTGGGCGGATCACCAGGTCAGGAGTTTGAGACAAGCCTGGCCAACACAGTGAAACCCCGTCTCTATTAAAAATACAAAAAATTACGCCATTGCACTCCAGCCCGGGTGATGGTGCAAGACTCCAACTCAAAAAAAAAAAAAAAAAAAATCTAGCTGAGAGTACTGTATATCAATAACTCTACTACATATCATTTAACCAAAAAACAATATGTCAGGGAGTATGACAAAAAGAACAGTTAAAAAAAAAATTTCAGTCTTCATCTCTTTAAAGTAGAAATAGCAGCTTTTTGTGATCCAGCCTCCTATTCTAGAAGCATTAGGAAAATGTCAAGTATCAAGTAGAAAATATAGCCTAAAAAGAAGTTGAGCTCAAGCAGAAAATAAAAAAGATGCAGCAGCCTGATTCAAAAAGGAAACAACTTTTTAACCTGGGGTGAAGAAAAAATACTGATACATAATGAACAGCAGGGACTAGCATAATTTGCCTAATGACTATAAATCAGAGGATAGCAGTTTAAGATTTCTTAGTATAAAAGCGACAGCTAACACACTGATACAGAAAAATAAATAAAAACAATTACTTCTAAATATAAGCCTTTTAAGGACAACTTTAATTACCCTGCCACAAAAGCACCATATCTGACAATAATCTCAGTATGAGGCTTTCGAAAATAATATGGTGCTACGATTTGCCCTTTCCATATCCATGGGCAAGAACTCCATTATTCTTGCTGTTTCAGGGCTCACTCAGTAGTATTCCACAGATATCATTAAATCATGTAATTTACTTTAAAAAGATTGAAGACAGAAGCTGAAACCCGGGTAAGAAAAAGCAACAGACTTGGTTCATAATATTTGCTTGTCAAAAACTATCCCCTTGAAAAGATAAATTCTTATCACCACTAAAGATCTTCAAAATCATATGTTTCAGGATCCAAAAACAACTCCAAAAATGCAGTCACAGTATTTTGTGAAATCAATACAATTATCTATTTTCCTGAGCCAAAGATAATTTCTTTAGCTATGCATCTAGACCATAGAATTTTGTATACAGACATAAACTATTTAAATGAATACATCTATTTATAGTCACCACTTTTATATAATGCAGAAGTACTTGAAGATCTTTTCGTGACAAAGGTAGTAATTCCAAACTGGGAAACAAATGGGAACTACATGAAGGTAGTAACACATCTGAATTTCTAAAGCACAGAATTCTAAGTTGCTACACCCTCTGTTGTAATGAATATGAAATCAGAAGGTTCCTTCACAGGAGGTTTGAATACACAGAGAACTGACAAATGAAATGGCAGTATACAATGCCTGAAAATACAGGCATACTTCATTTTATTGTGCTTCACTTGATCACATTTCACAAATACTGCCTTTTGTACAAATTGAAGGGCTGTGGTAACCCTGCTTCTAAGCCAGTCTATAAGCACCATTTTTTCTTAAAGCATGTGCTCACTTTGTCTCTGTCACATCTTAGTAATCCTCACAATATTTCAAACTATCATTACTATTACATCTGTTATGGTGATCTGTGATCTTTGATGTTACTATTGTAATTATTTTGGGGCACCAGGAAACATGGTCGTATAGGATGGGGAACTTAATTAATTAATATTGTATGTGTTAGGCCGGGTGCGGTGACTCACGCCTGTAATCCCAGCACTTTGGGAGGCTGAGGCAGGCGGATCACGAGGTCAGGAGATCGAGACCATCCTGGCTAACATGGTGAAAACCCGTCTCTACTAAAAAAAAAAAAAAAAAATACAAAAAGTAGCCGGGTGTTATGGCGGGCGCCCATAGTCCCAGCTACTCAGGAGGCTGAGGCAGGAGAATGGCGTGAACCCGGGAGGCGAAGCTTGCAGTGAGCCAACATCACGCCAGCCGGGGCGACAGAGTGAGACTCCTCTAAACAAAAAAAACACTGTATGTGTTCTGACTGCTCTGCCAACCTTTCCCTTCCCATCTCCCTCTCCTGGGGCCTCCCTATTCCCTAAGGACAATATTGATATTAGGCCAACTAATAAGACTACAATGGTCCCTAAGTGTTAAAATGAAAGGAAGAGTGGCATATCTCTTACTTTAAATCAAAATCTAGAAATAATTAAGCTTAGTGAGGAAGGCACGTCAAAAGCTGAGGTAGACTGAAAGCTAAACTTCTTGTACCAGTTAACCAGGTAGTGAATGCAAAAGAGAAATTCTTGAAGGAAGTTAAATGTGCTACTCCAGTGAACACACGAATGATTAGAAAGTGAAATAGCCTTATTGCTGATATGGAAACATGATAAGTGTTAGTGGTCTGGATATCAAACCAGTCACAACATTCCCTTAATCCAAAGCCTAAGCCAGAGCAAGGTCTAACTCTCTTCAATTCTGTAAAGTCTGAGAGAAATGAGAGAACTGTAGGAAAAAAGTTGAAAGCTAGTAGAGGTTGGTATATGAGGTTTAATGACAGAGGCCATCTCTATAACATAAAAGTGCAAGGTGAAGCAACAAGTACTGATGTAGAAGTTGGAGCAAGTTATCCAGAAGATCTAGCTAAGATCATTGATGAAGGTGGCTACACTAAACAACAGATTTTCAGATTCCAATACTGCCTTGCATTGGAAGACGATGCCATCTAGGACTTTCATAGCTAGAGAGGAAAAGTCAATGCCTGGTGTCAGGCCTCTGAGCCCAAGCTAAGCCATCATATCCCCTGTGACCTGCACATATACATCCAGATGGCCTGAAGCAACTGAAGAACCACAAAAGATGACATTCCACCATTGTGATCTGTTCTTGCCCCACCCTAACTGATCAACTGACCTTATGACAATACACCCTCCCGCCCTTGCGATAATGCACTTTGAGATATTCCCCTGCCCTTAAGAAGGTACTTTGTAATATTCTCCCTGCCCTTGAGAATGTACCTTGTGAGATCCACCCCCTGCCCACAAACTGCTCCTAATTCTACCGCCTATCCCAAACCTATAAGAACTAACGATAATCTCACCACCCTTTTCTGACTCAGCCCGCCTGCACCCAGGTGAAATAAACAGCCTTGTTACTCACACAAAGCCTGTTTGGTGGACTCTCTTCATACAAACGCACGTGACACCTGACTTCAAGGCTTCAAAGCTTCAAAGGACAGGCTAATAACGCTGTGTTGGGGCTGATAGGGGCTAATAATGCATCTGGTGACTTTAAGGTGAAGCCAATGCTCATTAACCATTCCGAAAATCCTAAGGCCCTTAAGAATTACACTAAAGCTACTCTACCTGTGTTCTATACACGCAACCACAAAGCCTAGATGACAGCATATCTGTTTACAGCATGGTTTACTGAATATTTTTTTCTTTTTTTGAGATGGAGTTTCACTCTTGTTGCCCAGGCTGTAGTGCAACGGCATGATCTCGGCTCCCTGCAAGTTCTACCTCCCAGGTTCAAGCGATTCTCCTGCCTCAGCCTCCTGAGTAGCTGGATTACAGGCACCTGCCATCATGCCTGGCTAATTTTTGTATTTTTAGTAGAGACAGGATTTTACCACGTTGGCCAGGCTAGTCTCAGACTCCTGACCTGGTGATCCACCCGTCTCGGCCTCCCAAAGTGCTGGGATTATAGGTGTGAGACCCTGTGCCAGGCCAGTTTACTATTTTAAGCCCACTGTTGAGACCTACTGCTCAGGGGGAAAAAAAAAAAAGGATTCCTTTCAAAATATTACTGCTCACGTATCTGTTCATCCAAGAGCTCTGATGGAAATGTAAAAGGAGATTAATGTTTTCATGCCTGGTAACACAACATCCATTTTGAAGCCCATGGATCAAGGAGTAATTTACACTTTCAAGTCTTCTTTAAGAACTGCATTTTGTAAGGCTATAACTGCCATAGATAGTGATTCCTCTAATGAATCTTGGCAAAGTACATTGAGACCTTTCTAGAAAGGGTTCACCATTCTAGATACCATTCAATATATTCATGATTCATGGGAGGAGCTCAAAATATCCACATTAACAGGAGTTTTGAAGAAGTTATTTCCAACCCTCTCGGATGACTTTGAGGGGGTCAAGACTTCAGTGTAAGAAGTAACTGCAGACATGGTAAAAATAGCAAGAGAACTAGAATAAAAGTAGAACCTAAAGATGGGACTGAATTGCTGCAATCTCATAATAAAACTTTCACAGATGAGGGGTTGCTTCATATGGCTGAGCAAAGAAAGTGGTTTCTTGAGATGGAATCTACTCTTGGTGAAGATGCTGTGAATTTCACTGAAATGATAACAAAGGATTTAGAATAAATTTAGTTGATAAAGCAGTGGCAGAGTTTGGAGGGACTGACTCCAATTTTGAAAGAAGTTCTTCTATGGGTAAAATGTTATCAAATAATATCACATGCTACAGAGAATCGATCATAAAAGGAATAGTTGGTGGATGCAGCAAACTTCATGGTTCTCTTATTTTAAGGAATTGCCACAGCCACTCCAACCTTCAGCAACCACCATCCTGATCAGTCATCAGCCATCAACATTGAGGCAACACCCTCTACCTCTAGCAGCAAAAAGATGACTTGATGAAGGCTCAGATGATTGCTAGCATTTTTAGCAATAAAGTATCTTAATGTATGGTTTTTTTTTTTTTTTTTTAGATATAATGCTATTGCACACTTAATAGACTACAGTTCAGTAAATGTAACTTTTTGAGACAAGGTTTCGCTCTGTTGCCCAGGCTGGAGTGCACTGGCATGATCTCAGTTCACTGCTGCCTTGACCTCCTGGGTTCAAGTGATCCTCCTACCTCAGCCTCCCTAGTAATTGGGACTACAGGCATGCGCCACCATGTCCAGCTAATTTTTGTATTTTTTTGTAGACATGGGGTTTCACCATGTTGCCCACGTTTGTCTCAAACTCCTGGGCTAAAGTGATCCTCTTGCCTTGGCCTCCCAAAGTGCTGGGATTACAGGCATGAGCCACCAGGCCCTGGACTGTAAACATAACTTCAATATGCACTAGGAAACAAAACAAAACAAACAAAAAATGTTGTGACTCATTTTATTGCAAGACTTGCTTTACTGTAGTGGTCTGGAACCAAACCTGCAATATCTCTGAGGTATGCCTATATACAGTCATTTTAAACATTTTAAAAATTTACTTAATTATATTTTATTTCAATGGGTTTTGGGAACAGGTCGTATTTGGTTACATGAATTAGTTCTTTAGTGGTGATTTCTGAAATTTTGGTGCATTCATTACCCAAGTAGCACTGTACCCAGTGTGTAGTATATTCCCTCACCCCCCTCCCACCATTTTCCCGAGTCCCCAAAGTACACTGTATCATTCTTACGCCTTTGGGTACTCATAGCTTAGCTCCCACTTATGAATGAGAACAAAAATGTTTGGTTTTCCATTCCTGAGTTACTTCACTTAGAGTATTAGTCTACAATTCCATCCAGGTTGTTGCAAATGCCATTACTTCATTCCTTTTTATGGCTGAGTAATATTCCATTGTGTGTGTGTGTACACTACATTTTCTTTATTCACTTGTTGATTGATGGGCATTTGGGCTGGTTCCATAGTTTTGCAATTGCAAATTGTGCTGCAATAAACAAGGGTGTGCAAGTATCTTTTTCGTATAATGACTTCTTTTCCCCTGGGTAGATACTTGTATAAAGTCATTTAGTCCTCAATTAATTCAGCTAATTTTACTGAACACCTAGTATGTACTGAGTGACTAGCCTCTTTCAAACTTCAGCCACAAAACCAGTCATCTTTCCCTGCTCCCTTATGGTTACACTGGAAGAAGTCTTTCTGTGTCCCCATAGGGCTGACACATTTCCCCACAGCTTGGGATCATATCTCCTTCCAAGTGACCTTACTTTACTGAGTATCTTTCTCAACTGCATCTTCCTCATCAGCAGGTAAGTCTGCTCAAGCTTCTCCTGCCTTCTGACTGCCCTTTCTCTATGCCTGCTTCCTCTTCCTTCCATAGCTAAATGACTTGAACAAGTTGGTGACATTTATTATCTCTATCTCCTCATCTTTCACACATTCCTGACCCATTGCAATCTGGCTTCTGCCCCATCATTTCACTAAAATTACTCTCAGAAGGCCACTGGACTACTGGTCTCTAGATCATATGAAAGCTTTTCATTGCTGACCTTGCAGAAGCAATCGCCACTTTTGATCACTCTCTCTTCCTTGAAACATTTTTGTTGTTGTTTTTTGAGATGGAGTCTCACTCCGTCTCCCAGGCTGGAGTGCGGTGGCACGATCTTGGCTCACTGCAACCTCCGCCTCCCAGGTTCAAGCGATTCTCCTGCCTCAGCCTCCCAAGTAGCTGGGATTACAGGTGGGCACCACCATATCAGGCTAATTTTTGTATTTTTAGTAAAGATGGGGTTTTGCCACGTTGGCCAGGTTGGTCTCGAACTCCTGACCTCAGGTGATCTGCCCGCCTCGGCCTCCTAAAGTGCTGGGATTATGGGTGTGAGCCACTGTGCCCGGCCAAACATTCTCTTTCTTAACTTTCATGACATCACATTCCGTTGGATTTCTGATTATATTTTCTCAGTTTACTTTAGAGATTCCTCTTCTTGTCATCCTTTAAATGTTGGTGTTTTCCAGAGTTCTAACAGAGGCTACCCTCTCTTATCTCACTCTAAGCAGTGTCCTTAGGCAATCTCATCTAGTCACGTTGCTTCAACTACATTACTTTGCTGATGGCTTGAAGCTGTATCTCCAGTCCAGAGCCTCTCCTTGTGCATCTAATTTGTATATATGTGACTGAAACCTTTTAGGGTATCTACCCAGTTCATACAATCTCCGATGTTTTAGAAATTGCCTCTACTTCCACCTAGAATGCAGCAGTGGTGGGCCTCCCAAAACCATGTCTGTACTATGTGACCCTTAATCCCCTCATTGTAATTGACCAGATACCAGCTCCAAGCTGGGTCAGTTAGATACCCAGTCCCGGAATTAGATTGAGACTAAGTCTATGCTCAAAATGAAACTTTTGTACACTACTGTTGGGAGTGTCAACTACACTTTGGAAAACTGGCAGTATCTCTAAATACACATATACCTAATGACCCAGAAATTCTACTCCTAAGTGTAAACCAAAATAATTAATTGCATATGTTCTTAAAAGACAAACAAAGTTTAGAGCTGCATTTTACATAATAAGCAAAAACTGGAAACCACACAAATCTTCATCATCAGTACAAATGATACGGCTCGGATGAGTGGAGAAACACCAGGGCTTTTTTGTTTTACCTTGAATTAGATGAGAAGACACAGACACACGTGGAGTGGTTTTAAGGAACAGAGAATTTAATAGGCGAGAAGGAAGGGAGAAGGAAGGAAGGAAGACGCTCCCTTGTAGAGAGAGAGGGAGGGAGGCTCCAAAGCCGAAAGAGAAGACCCCAAGTGGGGCAGAAATTAGCCAGGTATATACAGAGACTGAAGGAGGCGGTGTCTGATTTGCATAGGGCACAGGGGATTGGTTTGACCAGGCATGTCATTTACATAGCCTGCAAAAAAGCTGGCCCTCCTACCCTAGCCTTTTAATATGCAAAGGAAGGGCACCATGATGTTTTACACACGTGGATATGTGGGGGCGGCTATGTTGCCAGGAACGTGGGGCAAGGGTAAGAAGGCCGCAGGAACTGCCACGTTTGGGTGGACCCAGTTTCTAATGCCTGGCATTTGCATATTAAAGGTTGCTGGCCTGGCTCTAAGTGCTGGGTATATACCCAAAGGATTATAAATCATTCTACTATAAAGACACATGCACACGTATGTTTATTGCAGCATTGTTCACAATAGCAAAGACTTGGAACCAACCCACATGTCCATCAATGATAGACTGGATAAAGAAAATGTGACTCATATATACCATGAAATACTATGCAGCAATAAAAAAGGATGAGTTCATGTCCTTTGCAGGGACATGGATGAAGCTGGAAGCCATCATTCTCAGCAAACTAACACAGGAACAGAAAACCAAACACCACATGTTCTAACTCATAAGCAGGAGTTGAACAGTGAGAGCACATGGACACAGGGAGGGGAACATCACACACTGGGGCCTATCAGGGGGTTGGGGGGCTAGGGGAGAGAGCATTAGGAGAAATACCTAATGTAGATGACGGGTTGATGGGTGCAGCAAACCACCATGGCACGTGTATACCTATGTAACGAACCTGCATGTTCTGCACATGTATCCCAGTATAATAATAATAATTTAAAAAGAGCTGCTTTAAAAATGAAAATGTCCAAGGACCCCTTTTCCTTTCTATCTGCCTAAAATAATTTAATAACTTCTACCACACAATGAATAAATAATGGCATCTTCATCAGATGGAATACAGTAACAATGCAACAACATGATTGAATCTCACAAAGTTAAGCAAAAAAGACAGACACAAAAGAGTATATGAGATTCCATTCATATAAATTTGAAAAAGAGGCAACAGTAATCTACAGTGTTGGAAGTCACAATGGTGGTAACACTGCTGGGCTTAGGTAGTGACTAAAACGGAGCATGGAGACACTTCTTTTTTTTTTTTTTTTTTCTGAGACAGAGTTTCGCTCTTGTTGCCCAGGCTGGAGTGCAGTGGCGCAATCTCAGCTCACTGCAACCTCCGCCTCCCAGGTTCAAGCGATTCTCCTGCCTCAGCCTTCCTGAGTAGCTGGGATTACAGGCACGCGCCACCACGCCCAGCTAATTTTGTATTTTTAGTAGAGATGGGGTTTCTCCATGTTAGTCAGGCTGGTCTCGAACTCCCGACCTCAGATGATCCACCCACCTCGGCCTCCCCAAGTGCTGGGATTACAGGCATGAGCCACCGTGCCTGGCCTGCATGGAGACACTTCTAAGGTGCTGACAGCATTCTGTTTTTTGTCTGGATTCTAACTGCATGGCATGATCACTCATTAAACTTATGGACTATACATTTTCTATATGAATGTTATTCTTCAAGATTCTCAGCTAAATCTGGACTGGACCTCTGAAATGAGATTTAAATTCTCCTTGGTGAGATTTCTTTATAATAATAAGAGTTAGGACAGGAATAATACAATGAAAGTACAGCGTGATAATAAAAAGAATAAATAAAGTGTAATAGAGCCCCAGAGAAAGAAATAATTTAGGAAGAAAAGCTGTACATGGGCGGGATGGTGGGGGTGGGGGTGGTGTCTCTTAGATAAGAACATATACCAATTTTTTTCCTAATCTAAGCCAATTATTGTCAAGCACGGTCTCAAAGGAAGAGAATCTACATGGCGGTCTAGCCAGATGGTGCTAACAAAGTTGTCTTCCTTGCTTTGATGCCTGGGTGTCTGAGATGATAGAAGGCTGAGAGCCACATGGGGTAGCACAGTTGGCAACTCTATTCAAGTCGTGCAAATCAACACATAAAATGCTTTACATTTATTCTACTTCAGGCATATTTAGTGATGTACTTATAGTTTCATTTAAAAATTAATTAAAGGCTGAGTGCAGTGGCTCATGCCTGTAATCCCAGCACTTTGGGAGGCCGAGGCATGCAGATTATGAGGTCAGGAGATCGAGACCATCCTGGCTAACACTGTGAAACCTTGTCTCTACTAAAAATACAAAAAAAATTAGCTGGGCGTGGTGGTGCATGCCTGTAGTCCCAGCTACTCAGGAGGCTGAGGCAGGACAATGGCGTGAACCCGGGAGGCGGAGCTTACAGTGAGCCGAGATCGCGCCACTGCACTCCAGCCCGGGCGACAGACCGAGACTTTGTCTCAAAAAAAAAATAATAATAATTCATTATAAAATATTATGTTCTATCCAAATACACGCAAAACAAAAGACTTCATCTGAAAACTGGAATGGTTTAAATTTTATTTTTTCAGTAGGTATTTCTTCACTTCTGTCGCTTCTGTTATAAATTTATAGTCATACATTTCATTTTGGATCCCTTCCTATAATACAATGTATGTATTTCTATCACATGTCACCTCCTTACATCTCTACTTTCTAACCTCACACCTTCTTACCTATATTGTAGTTTCATAATCATTATTTTGGCATATCAGCCTCAGGGCTTGACATTCACTTGGCCATTCCACCCTGACACCTATCAAGATAGTGCTGATATAAAAATTGGCAATGACAGGGCAGGTGTGGTGGCTCATGCCTGTAATCCCAGCACTTTGGGAGGCCGAGGCAGGCGGATCACTGGAGGTCAGGAGTTCGAGATCAGCCTGGCCAACATGGCGAAACCCTGTCTCTACTAAAAATACAAAAATAAGCCAGGCATGGTGGTGTGCATCTATAGTCCCAGCTACTTGGGAGGCTGAGGCAAGAGAATCACTTGAACCGGGAGGTGGAGGTTGCAGTGAATCAAGATCGCGCCATTGCACTCCAGCCTGGGCAACAGAGTGAGACTCCACCTTAAAAAAAAAAAAAAAAAAGCAATGACAGAAGACATAAAAGGGATAAAAAATTTAAAAACTAAAAAATCATCACCACTTTAACCAGCACCCACAATCTCATTCGAGACACTGAGCTGGTACCGCCTAGGTAATCTGCTCCCAAATTCCTGCCCCACATAAACTGTGAGAGCAATAAATTATTACTGCTGTCTTAAACCACTAAATTTTAGAGAGATTTGTTATGCAACAATAAATGGTAAGTCTAAAATTCAGACTTCTCACTATTTTAGATTAGATTTCTCTAGTTGAAAAAAGCAAGATTTTACTTTATGCATACTCTGAACCAGCGTTCAGCAAACCATGGCCCATGAGCTAAGATTTTTTTTAATCTTTTCAAAACACTGTTTAAGAAAAAGAAGAATATGAAACAGATACATATGTGGTCAGAAAACCTAAAATATTTACTATCTGGCCCTTCACAGAGAAAGTACACTGACCTCTGCTGTAAATAAATTTCAATAATGGAGGGATGTATTATTTCAGTTTTGTTCTTTGGATCTTAGTGCTCCTTAATAACATTTATCTAGGCTGAGATTCGGACCTCTTCAAAGAGGGTGTGGTTATTGGCTACATGAGAAATACACAAGCATCAGCGCCAAAGAGCCAGAGGTGGGCTGTGAAAGGGGCCTGCCGTTTGTCAGCAGTGTAAACAGGACCAAGCTGTTCTCTAGACCAGCCCTCTTGGTGGGAGGAAACCAGCCAGAAGACTGGGCTGGAGCTGCCTGAGAAACAGCCTGCAGGTGGGGAGAGAAAGGTCTGAGAGTGCTGCTTAAGTTGATCTGTGAGGACCCCTGGGCTGAATAAAGGAAGGTGAAACAGAACTGGAAGGACAGTACCGATCTACTGTTGCCACCATGCATTGTCTCCCCAGGTCCTGCACTGACAGAGCCTAAAGCTGCACAGCTGGTAAAGGAGAAATGTTGACAGAGTCCAACTCCAATATCACAAAGCAGGGCAAAGAACTATAGATTTGGGGCTGACGGATAATAAATTAATAACTGAAACTATACTTCCTCTTTTTTTCCTTACTGCACTTTGCACTGCACTTTTTAAAGGAAAATCCTGCGAACATGTATTGTGTCCAAAGCATATATTTAATATTTACCACAATATTTAGTACATATGCCACAGGCACTCAATTTCTATTATTTATTTTCTGAATAAAAAAGAGCTATGTGAAGGAGTTTCACATTCCTATCTAGTTATCTGATGTTGGGAGATGAAAAATAAAAGAGGTGTGATAGTTGAAAAGAAAAACAGATTCCTAGAGTCACAAAACATGAGAGATGAGTAAAGCTCATCAACTAGAAATGTGTTGACATCAGAAGCCACAAATCAAGTGCCCGTGTGTAGTGTGGTGTTAAACATCACAACAAACAGAACTGTACAGATTGTGTGCATACTCAGTTTCTAATTGAGCGGAAATTATTTATATAATAACTTGCTTCCTCTGAAAGATTATCCTCTATGGCAAATTATACTAGCTTGATCTCATCTGAGTTGCCACTGACTTCTGTCCAGAAATTGAGTATCTAGGCAGAAAAGGTGAAAAAGAGAATAAACTATCATATAAAGAATCAAAAAGAATTCTGTATGTTGTCAGGTCTGCGAAATGGTGAAGCTCAGGGACTCTTCAAATAATGAGTCAGCTTGTATAATAGGAAGTCCAGGAACGGCAGTACATTTAATGCAAGAATAAAAAAACAATTTTGCAGGCCAGGCGCAGTGGCTCACGCCTGTAATCCCAGCACTTTGGGAGGCTGAGGCGGGTGGGTCACCTGATGTTGGGAGTTCAAGGCCAGCCTGACCAACACGGAGAAACTCCGTCTCTACTAAAAATACAAAATTAGCTGGGCGTGGTGGTGCATGCCTGTAATCCCAGCTACTCGGGAGGCTCAGACAGGAGAATTGCTTGAACCCAGGAGGCAGAGGTTGCGGTGAGCCAAGATCATGCCATTGCACTCCAGCCTGGGCAATAAGAGCAAAAAATCCATCTCAAAAAACAAAAACAAACAAACAAACAAAAAACAGAATTTTGCAGCTGAAATCATTTATGTATCATCTGACTTATATTATCTGACTGAAAACTCCCAAGAAAAAAAAATTTAGATAATGAAGAAAAAAATTTTTTTAGAGATGGGGTCTCACTGTGTCACCCAGGCTGGAATGTAGAGGTATGATCATAGCTCACTGCAGCCTCCAACTCCTGGGCTCAAGTGATCCTCTCTCCTCAGCCTCCTGAGTAGCTGCGACTACAGGCTTGCACCACGAAATCTGGCTGTTTTTTATTTTATTTTTTCAGAGACAAGGTATTGCTATGTTGACCATGCTGGTCTTGAATTCCTGCCTCAAGTGATGCTCCCACTTCAGCCTCTCAAGTAGCTGGGATTATAGGCACAAGCCACCGCACCCAACAAGAATTCTTTTTTAATCTGATAAAAAGAAAAAAAGCAGCTATGTTTCCTGTAATACTATGAAATATATATTTGGTCTACTTCCCCGTTTCCTGGCAGAAGCTCTTAAAATCCTTGGAATCTTCAAAGTGGTAAGTGTCTTTTATATGCTAATGTGTTGACCGATAGCTGCCAGCTCCTAGGTAGCTTCAGGACGGGAGCTACTCACTAGAAGGACCAAGGCAGGATTAGAGGGTTGGGACTTTCAGCCCCACTGCCCAATCTCCAGGAAGTGGGGGAGAAGCTGAAGGTTAAGTTGATCACCAATGGCCAAACGTTTAATGAATCATTCCTACATAATAAAGCTTCCCTAAAAATCCAAAAGGACTGTGTTTGGAGAGCTTCCAGGTAGTTGAACACATAAATGCTCCGGGGGAATGGCATCCCCAGAGAGTGGACAGAAGTGCCACACCCTTCCCACATGTTTTGCCCTATGCATCTCTCCATCTGTATCCTTTGTAATATCCTATATAGTAAACGAGTAGATGTGTTTCCTTGAGTTTTCTGTGAGCCACTCTAATAAATTAATAGAACCCGAGGAGAGGACAGTGGGAACCCTGATTTATAGTCAGTCAGCAGCATAGGTAAAACAACTAGTGTCTTTAGATTATCATGGGAAGCTATCTCCAGGTATACAGTGTCAGAATCAAATTGAATTAGAGGATACCCAGCTGGTATCCATTGCAGAATTAACTGATTGATGGCTGGTGGTGAGAAATCTCCATGCAATTCTTGGTGACTAGGGGTCACAGAAGTCTTCTGTGTTGATTGTTGTTAAGACAATAGAAAAAACACTGGTTTTTATTCCTATATTTTCAGGTTCCTCAAATCAAATTTCTAGTAAACAGTCTAGGCTGGACAAAAGCTCTAACTTAAGCTCTTAAGGCTGAGGGAAGAGAATCGCTTGAACCCAGAAGGCAGAGGTTGCAGTGAGCCAAGATTGCAGCACTGCACTCCAGCCTGGGTGATAGAGCAAGACTCCATCTCAAGAAAATAAAAATAAAAAATTAGAAAAAATAAAAGAAAAGTTCTAAGGAGGACTGACTCAATTTTAATTTAGGGAGATGAAGAAAACATAATCTAAATTTCGCTAAGACCCTACCTAACAGGTCCCACAAATAATTCTTTAGCACCAAGTCCTAAACTGCTGCTCCAAACATTTCACTCTTCGGTGGCTTCTACACCTTTGGCCGTGGCTTCCTTTGCCTTGAATGCCCTTCCTCCTAGACTCCAGTCTATAATTCTAACCATAAAGACAAACAAGCAAGGTGCAGGCTTCAGAGGCAGACTGCCTGTATCGACGTCCTGGCTCTATCTGCAGGGCCTGCGCCCACGTCCTTAACCTTTTAGAACCTCACTTTGCCCTCTCTCAAGAAAAGCTCAATTTTGCAGAAGGGTAGAAATTATTTTCTCTCTATACTCAGCCCTTCACCTACTTTTCCCTAGCTCAGTAAGTGGTACCGCCATACACCCAGCTGCTCAAGCCAAAAACCAGGCTTTCTCTTTCAAACATACAATCCCTCAGCTGGTGCTATCAAATCTGCTTTCAAAATAAACTCCAAATCAATCAAATTTGTTCTTATTTCCACTGTCTCCACCCTTATCCAAGCCATCACCATCTTTCCCTGACTACTTTGCCTCCTAACTGGTTTCCTGGCTTCTACTCTTGCCCTCTGCAATCATTCCCCATGTAACAGCTAATGTGATCTTCTAAAAGCATAAATCAGATTGTTACTCCCTTGATAAAAACTCAATATCCCACCATTATCACTTAGAATTAAATCTCTGCCTTGTCTGGCCTCTGCCTACCTCCTTTATTTCATCTTCTGTTTCTCTTTCCTTCGCTCTTTCCTCTCCAGGCGCACTGGCCTTCTAATGTATTCCTTACATACATTCTTAAATACAATTTCATTGCTGCTTGTGGACTTTGCACTTGGCCATTTCTTCTGTCTGGGATGCCCTTCTATCAAATCTCTGTACCACCAACTCCTTATCATTCAGAACTCGCTCAAATGTTGCCTCCTCAAGAGGGCCTCTCCTGACCATCCTACCCAATGTTGCTCCTGCCCCAGGACTCTTTGTCCTATACCCCTCCTGTTCTAACATCTTCCTAATTCTTATTTCAATCTGAAAACAAATGACTTATATGTTATATGTTCCCTTTTTTATTGGCTTCTCCCTACTAAAACTTCAAGAGAGCAAGGATCCTCTTTTTTTTTTTTTTCTTCTGAGACAGAGTCTTACTCTGTCACCTAGACTGGAGTGCAGTGGCCTGATCTCAGCTCACTGCAACCTCCACCTCCCAGGTTCAATTGATTCTCCTGACTCAGTTTCCCGAGTAACTGGGATTACAGGTGCGCACCACCACACCTGGCTAATTTTTGTATTTTTACTAGAGACAGGGTTTCACCATGTTGGCCAGGCTGGTCTCGAATTCCTGACCTCAGGTGATCCGCCTACCTTGGTCTCCCAAAGTGCTGGGATTACAGGTGTGAACCACCGTGCCCAGTCTAGAGAGTAAGGATCTTGCCTCTGTGTTCTCAACTTTATCTGCAGCACCAAGGGCCACGCCTGACACATGGCAAGCACTCATGAAAATATCTGCTGAATGGAGGAATGACTGTATAAACAACTACAAGATAATGTGACAGTTGCTGTAATAGAGTTATGAAAAACTGCTATGGGAGCACAGCAAAAAGCTGTTGATTTCCTAAAATGCTTGACAGATTCCATTTGAGGAGGCAAAACCTAGACTCTTTCAATTCCCTGAAATCATGTATCATACCACCTTATCCTCAAGTAATTATTGAGATTAATTTAATTCTTCAACAACAAAAAACTAAACTACTCCTTTTGTCATTCCTTCCAAAATGCTTCCAGATACATGCCAGCAAACACTGGTCATCTTCTGTCAGTCACAAAAAAAGTGAAGAATTAGGATTTATTTGGGCATAAAGTATATTGAGGAAATTTCTGAAAATATTAAAAAACTAAATTTAGAAATAGTGGTAAATAATAGAAGACTAGAACTGAAAACTAAATATCCCTAGCAAATGTTCATAATTCATCCACTAATTCAACATATGACATTAGCAATTTTAACATATTAATGCCTATATTTTGTCCTTCTTTGTTCTATTTACCCCTTAATGTTGAACAAATATCTCCAAATAAAATTTGTTTTGTCCTAAAAGAAAGAAAATCAGCCTGTTTTAATTATAATGTGACAAAATGCAGCTAATGCTCCTCAAGTTGTTTACTACAGTCTTGCAAGTACGAACGCTATCCAGGCTTCCTTTTTTTTTTTTTTTTTTTTTTTTGAGTCGGACTCTCACTCTTGTCACTCAGGCTGGAGTGCAATGGCACAATGGCATGATCTCAGCTCACTGCAACCTCCGCCTCCTGGGTTCAACTGATACTCCTGCCTCAGCCTCCCGAATAGGTAGGATTATAGGCGCATGCCACCATGCCTGGCTAATTTTTGTGTTTTAAGTAGAAACAGGGTTTTGCCATGTCGGCCAGGCCTGTCTCAAACTTCTGACCTCAGGTGATCCGCCTGCCTCGGCCTCCCAAAGTGCTAGGATTACAGGCATGAGCCACTGCGCCTGGCCCAGGATTTCTTTTTAATTAAAAAAAAAAATCCTGATTCTCAATGGACTTTTCATGAGTCTGTGTATTCTGAATTATAACTATTTATCTATGTAGCGACAGAGATGATAGCACCTATGTACTACAGCCATGATTTCTGAATATTAAATTTTTGAGTATTAAATCTACTAAATCTCTTCTATAAAGGCTTTTACACTCTTCTTTAAAACAGCTTATTTATAATCACTGGAAAAGAAAATTTGTGATAAGAACTTTTTTTCTTGTAAATTTTCTCTGCCAGAAAAATCTTCCACATATCTCCTCTAAGAATTTCAGGAAGGAATTTGGGATTGGTGAGAACTGTAAAATTAGTCCAGAAGGAAATTATGTAGGAGAGAATCAAGTGCTTAGTGTAAACAGTGCTAACAAGCCAGTTTTGTCACAGTCTTAGAACCTAAATTTCACTTGAGGAGTTACCTCAGACTGTAGGACACTGGTCAACAGAAACCCTAATCTAGGACACCCATTTGTAACTAAAATGATGATAGAAAAAGGCTAAAACTGAATCATGTCTGAGCTTTAACACTGAGGACGAATGCATTAAGGAAAAATCATTAAGGAAAAGACTTACAACAACCTAAACAAAAATTTTTCTTTGCAGATAATTTAAGACAACCTAAAGAAATAATTTTCTGACTACTGTATACTCAATGGAAACTGCATTCCTCAGAACGATGAGATACTGTACCTCACCCTGTATCCTCTCTTTCTCCCAAAACCATTTATTGACCATTTATTATATTTGCTATATAATGCACTAGACTCTGGAAATCTACTAGTAAACAAGATACAGTCCCTACTCCATGAGATCAAAGAGTGATTGTAATTGTAATATGGATGCTCTTTAGCTTATGATGAGTTCATTCCAAGAACCCACTGTAAGTTGAAAATATCATAAGCTGAAAATGCACCTAACCTATTAAAATAAACTTCAAAGATTAGCCTAGCTTACAACTCAAATGTGCTCAGCATGCTTACACTAGCCTACAGGGGTAACATCTTCTAACACAAAGCCCATTTTATAATAAAGTGTTGAATATATCTCATGTAATTTATTGAATACTGTACTGAAAGTGAAAAACAGGATAGCTGCATGGATACTCACAATTAAGTAACATACACAGGTGAATGCATACTGGGCCTGAAGAATGTTTGAAGCATTGAACTAAAATTAATTGCTGGATGATGGGGATGCTACTGCAACAGGGTCATTAATTTCTCTTCTGATGAGGCCTGAGAGTAGCTGGGAGAAGGCACTGGGGCATCGATACTTGTTAATGGTTTAGCAGGCATAGTGTTCTTCAGGAAGACATCAAGTTTTTTTAATTTTTAAATTTTAAATTTTTTGTTTTTTGAGACAGAGTCTTGCTCTTTCACCCAGGCTGGAGTGCAGTGGTGCGATCTCAGCTCACTGCAACCTCCACCTCCCCGGTTCAAATGATTCTCCTGCCTCAGCCTCTTGAGTAGCTGAGACTACAGGCATGCTCCACCACACCTGGCTAATTTTTGTATTTTTAGTAGAGGCGGGGGTTCACCATGTTGGCTAGGCTGGTCTTGAACTCCTGACCTCAAATGATCCACCCACCTTGGCCTCCCAAAATGCTGGGATTACAGGTGTGAGCCACCAGCCTGGCCGACATCAGGTTTGGACTATACAGTTTGTTCTCCTTTTCATTATATATTTCTCTGTAGCAAGCAAGAGCATCCTGTACTGTGTGTCAGCTCCTGTGAATAATGACATCCCTTTCTTCTAACTTCTGAATGGCACTGCTGATAGTGGCAAATATCTCTGCCAGTTTCTTTGCCGTTAACTTTCTTGGTGCCTCAGGTATAACTTCTTCCTCTTTCTCAACTTCTTTCTTCCTCCAGTTTGATTATCTCCTCATTGGAAAGCTCTTCAGATTCAATGCCAAGAAGTTAATAAATATCCTCTTCATCAATTCTAGCTATTCTCCAAGCACTAGTATCTTGTTACTGTTTCATCAACAGCAGAACCTTGCTAAGGCCTTTGAATGTGTTCACATGTCTTCAAAACTTTTTTCCAAATGCCATTCATGCATTGCTGTGTGACTTCTTTCCATGCTCCAGTGATATTCTGGATAGCATTTAGAATGTTAAAACTTTTCCAGAACTCTAGGAGCATTCAGCCAGATTCATTCACTTCAACAGCCGGAGCAAATGCCTGGCATAGTGTGCTTTGAATGCAGCTATTGTGCCTTGGTCCATGAGTTGAGTGTGGTTGTGTTTGGCAGCAAACTCATAACTTTCCATAAGAATGCATGTCACCTATATGCTGTGGGTGCCCTGGAGCACTGTCTAAGATCAGAAGAATCTTGAATGGGGCCAGGTACAGTGGCTCGTGCTTATAATCCTAGTGCTCTGGGAGGCTGAGGTGGGAGGACTGCTTCAGTCCAGGAGTTTAAGACCAGCCTGGGCAACATAGTAAAATCTTGACTCTACAAAAAATTTTTTAAAAATCAGTCAAGTGTGCTGGTGTGCACCTGTGATCCTAGCTACTTGGGAGGCTGTGCCAGGAGGATCATTTGAGTCCAGGAATTCAAGGTTACAGTGAGCTATGATCACACCATTGCACTCCAGCCTGGGTGACAGAACAAGACTGTCTCTCTAAAAATAAAAATAAAAGATCTTGAATGAAGTCGTTTTTTGCTTACAATATTCTCTTGCCTGTGGAAGAAAACAGTTCAAAAGCCAGTCTTCGAACAATGCTGAGGTCCTCCAGGGTGTCTTGTTATGGTGATAATAAATAAGAAGCGAATGCTTGCTCACATTCTTGAGTGTTCTTGGGTTCCCTGAGTTGTAAATTAGGAAAAGCTTTAATTTGAACCCTGCAACATTTCCACCCAAAAGCAGCAATACACAGTCTGAATGCCTTAAGTTCTTGACAGGTTGCTTCCAGAGCAACCCTATTTTATTTACATAAAATATTTGTCCTGGGAAATATTTATTATCCACAATTATCGTGTACAGCTCTTCCTAAAAGCTTTGACACATTCAATATCAGCGCTTGCTGACTCTCTGCTGACCTTCACATTAAGAAAATTATGATGCCTTTTGAAGCACTGGAATCACCTATGACTTGCCATAAACACTTGTGTATAATAGGATCATCGACACATTCATTCACTCTTTTAGTGTAATCAAAAACACTTCTTGCCCTAGCTGGCATCATCAGTAAGTAGTATGCCCTTCGATATCTGGTCTTACATCCACATGACAAGTAATTTTTCGATATTATCAATCAGCCAAGCTCTTTTCTTCGTGACAGTGGATTTAACTAATGCTGACGATTTCACTGCCTCACTGATTCACTTCTTATTCTTTAAGATGGTTGAGGATCATGGATCGTGAAAGTCCCAACTCTTGTGCAATGGCCATTAATCCCTTGCCGTCTTCATGCAGGGCGATTATCTTGAGTTTCATCTCAAGAGTAATTGCCTTCCTCTTCTTCTCACCAGAAGCAGGAGGCATAGATGAGCATACTGTAGACATGACAGGATGCAAAAGCGCGAAACACAATGTCCAAGAAACGCCAGTCACACAATACACAGCAGAGTATTGGTTGTTGACCTGCATGATGCGTGGCTGGCTGGGAGCTGTAGCTTGCTGCTGCTGCCCCACATCGAGACAGAGTATTGTACTGCATATTGCTAACCCAGGAACAGATCAAAATTCAAAGTACAGTTTCGACCAAATGCACATTGCTTCACACCATCATAAAGTCGAAGCCATCATAAATCAGGGACCATGTGATAAGGTGTATGATGGATTAAGTTTGGGGTGCTGTGGGCACACCCATGGAGGCATATATATAACTTAATCTTGAAGTGATTAGAGCAGATTTTATCAAAATTACAATCTACATTATTGGTTTTTAAAGTGCCTCAGAGGATCCTCACTTTTAAATCAAACTGACATTTCTAAAAGAAACGAAACATCCTTGCAGTCCAGAATTGCTTTTCAAAATCTAAAGTTCCAGATATCTTTCTTAGTAGATTTTAACTTTTAGTTTCCATCCATTGAAATCTCTTGGCCAATAAATAATTTGGTTATTTTACATATTTTATCCCACATTTCAGAAACATTAGATTTTCTATTCCTTATTAAAAATTTTTTCTTTAAAATAAACAAATATACACTACAGGTTACCACAGGATGTGTGAAGTGAGAGACAATGTAGAGAACAGACTTTTGTCTTTTGCTTTCTAACACTTGATTCTTCAAGTTCTTTTTACAAGCAGCATGTTGTCCTTTTATAATTCAGAAACATATACATATAATTATTAAAAATGCTCACCAGGCACAGTGGCTCATGCCTGTAATCCCAGCACTTTGGGAGGCCAAGGTGGGCAGATCACTTGAGGTCAGGAGTTGGAGACCAGCCTGGCCAACATGGTGAAACTCCCTCTCTACTAAAAATACAAAAATTAGCTGGGCATGGTGGCGGGTGCCTGTAATCCCAGCTACTTGGGAGGTTGAGGCAGGAGAATTGCTTGAACCTGGGAGGCAGAGGTTGCAGTGAACCAAGATCATGCCTCTGCACTCCAGCCTGGGTGACAGAGTGAGACTCCATCTCAAAAAATAAAATAATAAAAAAAAGTCCTAAAATCCCCACATTATAAGTTTCATGTTTTCTATGGATGAACAACAGAGGTGTAAGTACACTAGTCATTTCATTGTGATTTAATTATTCCTTGGTAATAACTTATAGTGACATTATAATTTTGTGACTTAACATTAAGCAGGAACAAGAACAAAATAATAATGCTCTATTTAATATACTCTGCCCCTTATTTTATTACAGTGTAGAAGCTTAAGGGATAAAATTTGCTTTATTTCTTCTGTGTACGGCCACTGTAGAACATTACGTTCCTTTCTCTCAGGGTATGATAATTCAGTACTGCTGACTTAAATTCATGTCCTTTTTCTTCCAAGCCATTTCAAAGTGTCATTTGGCATTCATCTACCTTGTAACATTTCTGTGTGATATATTAGAAATAATTAGGATAATCCTTTTTTTTTCCTCAAATATGCAGGGTAAAGATGGAGGATGATTATATAAGCTCTTTGTACCACCCAACTCTAAGAGTAGCCTTCAATTGTATAATTTGTAACAGTTATAGAATCAACTAAACTCTTAATAGTATCTTAATCATTACTCCTCATCCCATTCTTCCTTTCCAACCAATTCAGTCTATTAGTAGCCATTGAAAAACAACAAGAAATTCAATCAAACTGGTAAGATTTACTGTGGCTTAAAAGTTAGAAGAATGAGGGGGCTGGGTGCAGTGGCTCACACCTGTAATCCCAGCACTTTGGGAGGGCAAGGCAGGTGGATCACGAGGTCAGGAGTTCGAGACCAGCCTGACCTACATGGTGAAACCCCGTCTGTACTAAAAAAATACAAAAATTAGCCGGGCGTGGTGGCATGCACCTATAATCCCAGCTACTCAGGAGGCTGAAGCAGGATAATTGCTTGAACCTGGGAGGCAGAGGTTGCAGTGAGCCAAGAGAGAGCCACTGCACTCCAGCCTGGGTGACAGAGAGAGACTCCATCTTGGGGGAAAAAAAAAAAAGAAGAAGAATGTTGAAGTTCTTGTTCTTTGAGCAAGTTATTTAGCCTCTCTGAGCTTCAGTCCCATAACCTGTAAAAGTAGGGATAAAGTTGCCTCTTGACTACCTGGAGTTGCTCAAAAGCTTAGGGGAAGAGGCTTTGTGAATTATAAAGCATCATAAAGACAATATGTTATTAATGTAATCAATACTCTTTACTTTTAATCAACTGCCAGTCTCTTTACATCAATAACAAAGAGAAAAACAAAATTATTGCCATAGGATCATTAATGCACAGAGGCAGTTATGATAACAATTGAATGCTAATTTATACATTCATGAGATTATAACACCTAGCTTGCTTCGGAGGATCTCAGCAAACGCTTATCTTCTACTACCTTCTCCTGTTATATCTAGTATGTTACTTGAAGTTTCTTCATAAATGGCTCTTTAGGGCACATGTACAATACATTTTAGGGTCAAGGGAGGGGCAACTAAAATCCTTCTATGATACAATTGAATAAAATTCTGATACAATAATTTATTATAATTAGTACTGTCCAGTGAGGAACTATTTCCTGCCCACAGTGTGCCATAAAGAAAGAAATCAGGATGTACAGACAGGCCTCACCTCTGACCTGTTGCTGAAGTTAGTGTGCCTGGATTTGCTCCTCTGAAAACCTGTTTTGGGATATCAGAATTTAAATTTACATTGCAGTTAGAAGTAATCGAGGCATCTGTCTGACATTGGTTGTGCCTGTAAGCAAAACGAGAAGGAACAGAACACTTGGTAGTTGACCATGAATCCACTCAGCAGTTCCTCCAACACTGTCCTTAGGGATATCCGGCTGATGCCTAGAGGCCTCAGAATCTATCTGATGAGACAGGGAACTGGCATGAAGAGTTTAAAGGCAGAGCTCAGTTAGGCAGGCAGGGATGGGTATCCACACTGTCACTCAATAGCTATGTGACGTAGGTACCTTAACTTCTCTAAACCTCAGTGTCCTTATCTATACAATGGGGATAACAGTACCTACTTCACAAGGCTGACACAGCATTAAAGATGAGCAGGCTTGTGTAAAGTGATATATGCCACAATATCACTTTACTATAACTATTATTATTATAACTTCTCAGGCAGAAGCAACATGTCCCCAAAATACAATTACAGACTAACTTACTGATGATCTAAAAGCTTTGTTACTTTTTTCTTTCTCGAGACAGAGTCCCACCCAGTCACCAGGCTGGAGTGCAGTGGTGCGATCTTAGCTCACTACAACCTCCACCTCCCAGGTTCAAGTGATTCTCCTGCCTCAGCCTCCTGAGTTGCTGGGACTACAGGTGTGCGCCACCATGCCCTGCTAAATTTTGTATTTTTAGTAGAGATGGGTGTTTCACTATGTTGGCCAGGCTGGTCTTGAACTCCTGATCTCATGATCTGCCTGCCTCAACCTCCCAAAGTGCTGGGATTACAGGCGTGAGCCACCACGCCCAGCCTTTGTTACTTTCAAGAAGAGCAACACATCATAGAAAGAGGTTTACTGGGCCAGGCATGGTGGCTCACACCTGTATTCCCAGCACTTGGGGAAGCCAAGGCGGGCAGATCACCTGAGGTCAGGAGTTCGACACCAGCCCAGACAACATGTGAAACCATGTCTCTACTAAAAATACAAAAAAAAATTAGCTGGGTATGGTGGCAGGCACCTATAATCCCAGCCACTCGGGAGGCTGAGGAGGCTGAGGCAGGAGAATCGCTTGAACCTGGGAGGCAGAAGTTGCAGTGAGCCAAGATCACACCATTGCACTCCAGCCTGGATGACAGAGCAAGACTCCATCTCAATAAATAGGTAGGTAGGTAGGTAGGTAGGTAGGTAGGTAGGTAGGTAGGTAGGCAGGCAGGTAGATAGGTAGGTAGGTAGGTAGGTTGGTAGGTAGAGAGAGAGAGAGAGAGAGAGAGAGAGAGAGAGAGAAGTTTAATGTTCAATAATGAACTTGAAACCAACTGGGATTTCTGGTGTGTACATTTACAGAGGGTAATAAATGCATCTTCTAAGAAGCTTATTGTTATGTTGGCAATTTTATTTATTGAATGTAAGTCATAAGCAAGAAAGATTCTATAGAAAAAGACCATTCTAAGCACATTTTAGACTATGTAACTATTTAAAGACTAATGGTATTTACTAGAAAATAATACCTTCAGTTAGGTCATATGATATTTTATTTCCCCTATAGGTTCTACTTAACTTTGGCCCACTGATTTTGTATCTTTGCTAATTATAATCTGTCACACCAGGCTGTTTTCTCACTTGCCATTTAGTTACGTTAAAGTATATCATATGAATTTAAGAAGAAGCATAATAAACAAAAAAGTCCTAACATGAATCTTAGCTTGGGTTTCCCCAAAAGCAGAGCCTAAGACAAGGATTTGGGTGTAGTAACTTCTCTGGGAGGTCATCTTATCATAAAGCAGGAGAAAGAGAATGGGAGGCATGATACAGGAAGGAAAAAGAGCTAATGTAAGAGCATTACTGAGGTGACTGCTAGAGACAACAGGGGACTCATTCTGCCAGTACCTATGAGTAGCACTTAGAATATCACTCACAATTGTCCATCTGAAAGACAAGAGGCTGAAACATTTATTCAACCATTTGAGGGTTGTCCTCAGCTCCCTGATATGGGAGCAGAAGGGAGATAGAGCGGGGAAGAAGGGGCATTAACTCCACAGTCCTCCAATGCTGCACTGGGTATACAGGCTCAGCAAACTCCCGAGTTCCTGTGCTGCTGAAGAAGGCATTGAGCAGAATACAGAAAGACTGGGTATAGCTTGGGTTTGAGATGAAACACCAGCAATGGAAGGTGAGTCTGAATTTGTAAGAAACTATCCACCAGTTACAAATGAAATCAGAGGTGGGCAAAAATGGATGCATGCAAGGACCAAAGGCATCTCCTACAAATACAAGAAGTTACATGTGAAAACAAGACTTCCCAGGCCTTTCCAAGAAATAAAGAGAAGCTACTCTTATTCTGATCTTCCCTAAATAGCTCTGAGAACATCTTTACCTAAAGTAGGTATAAAAAGAGATCAAAAGAGAAAATAAAATTTTTGCATATTTCTTATTGTGGGTTTAATAAATACCTAATTAGATTTTATCTATAAAGATGTTAACTGTAACATTATTTATAACAGCAAAAAATTGAAAACAATTCAATTGTCCAATAATAATAGACAGGTTAATTATGAATCTGTAACATATGATGATTATGCATTCATTACAATTGCTTTCAAGAAAATATTAATGATACAAGAAAAGATTCATGACAATGATACTTTGAAAAACTTTAGACCCCAAACTATACATAATGTTATTGCAATTGTGGTCTTCAAATTTCTTACATTTCAAAACCAGCACTTTGATAATTACACATTTTCACTTCTAAGCCACCTTTACATGAAATTTGGACTTCAATGCATCAGTTACCCAGCCATGGTCCTCCCTCCCACCCCCGACACACTAAATGTGGAAATGTGTGGGGAGCCTTATTTGGCTGTCACATTGACTGATGGGTGCTAAAAACGTGTAGTATACAAGGTCAGAGACACTAAACATTCTGCAATGCACTAAACAGAACTTACCAAAAAATTGCCCTATCAAAATGTGAAGAGTGCCACAAGTCAAACCAATGAGCTAAGGGAATAAACACTTAGAATGATCCTATAACAGCCAACAGGCCAATTGTGCAAGCATCTGTGCCAGAGTTGAGGCAAATTGGGTCTATTAATTTGCATAAATCATTATTATGTAAAACAGTGAAGATAGGTAAATCAAAATGCTGATAGTGTTACAAAGCAGAGAGATCACAACAATATGGTTAGGACAAAGAAGGACATCAACTAGAGGTGCAAAGAATGGTGACTAACATAACATAAAATTAGATATTCAGACTCTGGCCAACTGAATATGCATATATTCAGTTATAAATTTAAAAACTAAAATTAAAGCCCATGTTCAAATACCAGAAATCCATGAACACTAACTGTACCTAAAATATATAATTCGCAATTTTAATACATGTTCTTGCTTTTTTGGAAGAGGGCAAATCCATAGAAAGTATATTTTATAATTTTGTACTTTTGACTTTAGTACATGTTTTTAAAAACATATTATATACAAACATGCTTGTACACAGAGAAGATGGAAGGTAAGATACCAAAATATTAATATGGTTATTTCTGAATGCTGGAATTATCAGAGGTTTTCCTTTTCTTCTTTGCTGAAATTTCTTAAAAGAAAGACCTACGTATGCAACTCTCTCAAGAAAATCCAAGAGTCAGCAAGACAGGCTAAGTTAAACATGTTTAAAGTGTCAGGTCCAAGTAAAAGCAAAATAGAGCTGGGCTGCATGAAAGGGGAGGATGACAAGATTTAGAGCTATGTTTTCTTCTCACAGCTGGTTATTCTGTTGGGTAATAAATGGCTCACAACATGGACAATACAGCCCTATTGTGCATATTCCACTAGAGGTAGGGTACTGTGAAGAAATTCTCTGCAAGATTCATAGAAGTGGAAGGTACATTAGTCAGGACAGTATACATAATAAAGGCATAAAAGTTTGTCCAACTACTAAGATAAAGCAGTTAAAATAAAATGCAGAATTCTCCAGCAGGAGGTAGCTACAATGTAAGCAAAGCTGGTTCCTGGGAAAGGAAATAATTAAAAGGCAATCTAGAAATATGCACTAAAGGGGAAAAACAAGTAGCAAAATATTCATTTATTCACTCTGCAAATGTGTATTGAATGAGAACTAACTGCGAGGCACTATGGATCTATCACTCATCATTTCACATATATCCTTTTGGAACTTAAATTTTTGGCCTATGCCCTTTCTGTGGTGACTAGTTTCATAAGTTACTACTCACCATGTTGGAGGTACTTCCTTTTCTTGTCCAAAATGAACATGATGGTGCACAGGTGATGACACCTGTCACTCACTGATCGCCAGCACTGATGTAACTGACAGGTGTTGCTCAAGAGTCCCCTCTCCCTCAGCACTACATATAGTGACCCTTCTCAGATGTGCACTTGGAAGAAAAGAGACAATCTTTCACAGATAAAGGAAGACTCTTTTTGATTAGTGTACTTATCCTAAAACCATTTTCTTTAAATTAAATCTTTGTTTTAGCTTGCTGAGACCTAGCAAATAAATTCACATCTATGCCGGGCGCGGTGGCTCATGCCTGTAATCCCAGCACTTTGGGAGGCCGAGGCGGGCGGATCACAAGGTCAGGAGTTCGAGACCATCCTGGCTAATACGGTGAAACCCCATCTCTACTAAAAATACAAAAAAAATTAGCCGGGCGTAGGTGGTGCATGCCTGTAGTCCCAGCTACTTGGGAGACTGAGGCAGGAGAATGGCGTAAAACCCGGCAGACGGAGGTTGCAGTGAGCCGAGATCGCACCACTGCACTCCAGCCTGGGAGCTAGAGCGAGACTCCGTCTCAAAAAAAAAAAAAAAAAATTCACATCTATGATAATAATACTGTTGAGGATTTTATACAATGCCAGTATCTTCAAGTCTCTTCTTTTGGGTTGGCCATATTCCCCACAAGACTCTTCTCATCTGCTTGGAAGATATAATCCCGGGGGCTGACATCTGCAATATGGGTAAAGAAAGATGGCTCAACCTCACTAAGTTAACTTTCACCCAATTCTGTTTTCCACAGAGTACGCAAGCTCTCAACTGTGCCAGATATCCTCAAGTCTAAAGAAATAAAACTCTGAAGTTCCTTCCAGGGGGAAAAGAGGGCACTTGCCAGCTGTGCAGAGTAGAAAAGAGAGTTTGGAATCTAATAGTTTCTTGAGCAGATTTTCAACCAATTATCATGCTTCTAGCCTACAATTTACCCCGTATTTCTGAAAGCACTTGTTCTGTCAAATCCTAAGGTTAAACAGTATAAACTGGTTGATTTGTAGCTTTTCCCATTGCTGCCTAATGATAAGCTTTCTGTGCTGTGTATCAGTTGGGTTCATCCAGAGAAGCGACTACTATGAATGCGTATGAGTGACTATATAAAGATTTGTTACAAAGACTTGGACTTGTACAACTGTGGAAACTGGTTAGGCAGTCTCTATAAGGCGTTTTCTTCATGTCTGGTCTGATTCTAGAGCTGAGGTCCACAGGGCAGGACATCAGGAAAGGATGACGGATGAAAAGTGGGGAAATGCAAAAACAAGATGAAAACCACAAGCACGACCTTGAGTCCCTGGGGGTCTCAGTCAATCTAGGATGCTGTAACAGAAAACCACAGACTAAGTGGCTTAAACAACAGAAATTTATTTCTCACAGTTCTGGAGGCTTGGAAGTTCATTAGGGTGCCTGCATGTTGGGTTCTGGTGTGGGTCATCTTCCGAGTTGGCAAATGGCTATCTTATTCTATGTCCTCACATAGCGGAGTGCAGAAAGAGGAAGCAACTCTGCCCTGTTTCTTCTTGTAAAGACACTAATCCAACCATGAGAGCTCTATCCTCATGACCTAATTACTTCTCAAGGATCCCATCTCCAAAAGCCTCCATTGAGGCTTAAGGTTTCCACATATGAATTTATGGTGACACAAACATTCACTCAATCCTACAGCATGGGTTTATAGATGGAAAGAGACTCTGTATTTGGAGCTGTACTCAATGCTGATTCAAATGACACAATTCTGGACTTTGAGCTGACGCTGTAATGTTCTGGACTTTGGGCTGACAATTTTGGGGCACTGGGAGGGGGTTAATGTATTTCTGCATTATGAACCAGTATTATTTTGCATTGTGAACCACTGGGTAGACTGTTGCATGCAACTTTCAAATACAGTCCTCTAACATTAGGAATATCTGGTTGTGGTGGTGGATACATGAACCTACACATGATAAAAGTATACAGATGTAAACTCATGCACACAAGCACAAGTAAAACTGGGGCAATATAAATAAGATTGGTGGATTATATCAACTTCAATATCAGTCAATATCTGGGTTGTGATATTATACCACAGTTTTGCCAAATGTTACCTTTGGGGGAAAATGGAGAGTATATACCTGATTTCTCTGTATTATTTCTCACAAACTGCCTGTGAGTCTGCAGTTATCTCAATAAATACTTTAATTTTTTTAAGAATATGGCACTCAGTGATCCTGCCTCCTGGTATTCTGACCCTTATGTAAGTGTAATCTCTTCCTCTTGAATGTGGGCAGGACCCAGTGATGTACTTCTATTAAATGGTATGGAAAAAATGATGGGATGCGTCTTCCATGATTACATAACAAATGAATTACTTCTGTCTGCTAGATTCGCTCTGTTGTCTATCAGCTTGCATACTTTGATGAAACAAGCTTCCATGTTGAAGAGGACCAAGTGGAAGTGAATTGAGGGCAAGCACTGGACAACAGCCAGAGAGAAAGTCCAAAGCCCATTCCCCTATAAGTAACTGAATGCAGCCAACAACCAGTGAGTGGACCTGAAAGCTTTCCAACAGCCTTGTAATGACTACAGTTGCAGCCAACAACATGATTTCAGCCTGCGAGAGACCTCAGCATACCTGGATTCCCGGACTACAGAAACTGAGCTAATAAATGTGTGCCATTTTGAGCCACTAAGTTTTGGCACATTTTTTTGGGCACATTAGATAGCAATAGTAGATAATTAATAGAAGCTTGTTACTATTTGTCCCTCTACTTTCTACTCCAATATTTTGTTGCTATTGTCTTCTTTCCCAATCTCTTTATCCTTGTGGGCTGATATATTTTTTAATTCCTGTATTCTTTTTTTTCTTTTTTGAGATGGAGTCTGGTCCTGTTGCCCAGGCTGGAGTGCAGTGGTGTGATCTCGGCTCACTGCAAGCTCTGCCTCCCGGGTTCACACCATTCTCCTGCTTCAGCCTCGCGAGTAGCTGGGACTACAGACGCCCGCCACCACACCCAGCTAATTTTTTATATTTTTAGTAGAGACGGGATTTCACCGTGTTAGCCAGGATGGTCTTGATCTCCTGACCTTGTGATCCGCCCGCCTTGGCCTCCCAAAGTGCTGGGATTACAGGCGTGAGACACCGCACCCGGCCTAATTCCTGTATTCTTATTAGGATTTCAGGAAGGAAATTTATGTATTTGTCAAGCCTGCCATCTTTTACTGGAAGTCATCCCAGGTCTTCTGTTATGGATTAAATATTTGTATGTCCCCCTCTCCCCCATTTATATGTTACAGCCCTAACTCCCAATATACTGGTATCAGGAGATTGAGCCTTTGAAAGATAATTAGGTTTAGAAGAGCTCATGAGTATGGAGCACCCATGATAAGATTAGTGGCCCTTAAGAGGAGGAGGCTGGGTGTGGTGGCTCACACCTATAATCCTAGCACTTTGGGAGGCCGGGGCAGTCAGATCACCTGAGGTCAGGAGTTCAAGACCAGCCTGGCCAACATGGTGAAATCCCATATCTACTAAAATACAAAATTTAGCCGGGCATGATGGCAGGTGCCTGTAATCCCAGCTACTCAGGAGGCTGAGATGGGAGAATTGCTTGAACCTGGGAGGTGGTGGTTGCAGCGAGCCGGGATCACACCACTGCACTCCAGCCTGGGTGGCTGGCTGAGTGAGACGCTCTCAAAAAAAAAAAAAAAAAAAGAAAAGGAGGAGGAGGAAGAAATACCAGAGCTTTCTCTCTCCTCCTGTTGAAGAATGCAACAAGAAGGTGGCCATCTGCAAGCCAGGAAGAGAGCCCTCAATAGGAAAACAATCTTCCTGCACCTTGATGTTGGACTTTCCAGCCTCCGGGAATGTGAGAAATAAATGTCTCTTTATAAGCCACCCCATCTATATTTTGTTACAGCAGACTATGCAGACTAATACACCACAAGACTAACACAATTAATGGAGACAAAATTAACAAGCAGTCTGTTTTAAATGAGTTATTCTAAAATTTTCACACTACAAGTCTAGTCGAGGAGATCAAGAGAAATTCTGTTACAAAATGTTCTTTCATTTTAATCACTTGATCAATGCAGCATCATCATAGGGCTTTATTTTCTTCTTATAGTTTTAGCTAGCAGTGGAATTTAAAATGCCCCAGTTTGCCATCTGCTTCATTTTCACAGGCATGAACCATACCAATAAAAAGAAATGGACTTCAAATCATCAGCCTTTTTTTTAACAGAGAGAAAAGAAAAAGAGAGAAAAAGAAATACATGTCTAGATTGTGGCTTCTATTTGAACTACTGTGAGGTTTGGTCCTAATTTTGAAAAATCCTCACTTGTATGATATCTAAGGAATTGAATATCTCTATTATCTCCACTAAGTCACAATTTTTTTGTTGTTAAACAATAGGGAACATCAGAATTGTGTAAGTATTCTTTGTAGATGTGGGGAAATAAGATTTATCTGGATTTTGCTTAGCTTCTGTAAAAAGCCCTAGCCTCCCAAGACATGGAAATACATACACCATAAAGCTAGAGAATTTGCTTTCACTTCCCCTAGAAGCATTTTACTTTTCACATATCCTGAGGATTAGCTCTATAGCCATTTGTCTACTTAACTGCTCTAATCCAAAAGGATGATAAAACTTCTCTTATCTCTACAAGTGGGTCAAATGGTTACAGCCCAGAATAGGCCCCTGGGCTAAGTTCCAAAGTGCCAGGAAGACTCTCTCTGGGTATTTACAGAAGCCTAGACCTTGGAAACACCTCCTGGTAGTAACTTCCCCACTCTCTCCATGACAGAGATGTTTATCTAGCCCTTGGAAAGTCATATTTACATTCCAAATGGTTTATAAGAACTCAAGATTCTTCTTATCCTATCTCAAAGGAATAAAAGTTTTTCTCTCTCTTTTTAGAAGAGGAAGTTGGTGGCTACCTCTTTTCTGTATACAGAGAAAATACATTATTCTCTATCACTTTTCTATGGGGTGAAACCTGCCACCCACATACAAAATTTCCATTGATTCTCATCACAGGCCTATGGATCTGGGTACGGGAGAAGATACTCATCTTTCTGCAGTTACTATATTTTTACTGTACATTATATATGTTTCAGATACAGAAAAACTTCCCATAGTGTTGCAACTTCCTACAGTATTCAATATAGTAAGATACTGTATAGGTTTGTAGTGTAGGAACAATAGGCTATACAATATAGCCTAGGTTTGTAACAGGCTATGCCATCTAGGTTTGCATAAGTACACTCTGATGTTCGCATAATGATGAAATCGCCTAAGGATGCACTTCTCAGAATGTATCCCTGCCGTTAAAAGACGCGTGACTGTTATCTTTTTATGTACATCTCACATAACTTTACAACTATACTAATGTCATAGTCTTCACAAAACAGTAGGGAACAGCAGATCTAAGATCAAACAAGCAGGTTAGAAAGGGAACATCCACCAGGAAATGAACACTATCTCTCAATATATTTCATCATATTCGTCTTAGAGAAAAGCTTCCCCAGATGTGAGATGCTTATAGAATCATTAAATTAAAAGATATAATAGGAGAGGGGCAGAGAAAATGGCCAGATCCAAGCTGCCACGGATCCTCCCCAACCTCCAACAGGAACACCAAATTTAGCATCTACACAAAAAAGACACCTTTATAAGAACCAAAAATCAGGTACCAGTTCGGCCACATGGGGTAGAGCACTGAGCAGGCTCTTGGGGTCTGCCATTCCAGGCACTGGCTCTTAGACGGTATTTCTGGACCTACTCTAGGCCAGAGGCGAGCCCACTTACCTGAAGAGTAGAGTCTCAGGCCTGGTAGCATTCACCATGAGCTGACCGAAGACCCTTGGGCCTTAAGTGAACATTGGCAGTAGCCTGGCTGTACTCCCCATGGGCCTATGGTGGCAGTGGCCACAGGGAGAGGCTCCTCTGCTTGTGGAAAGGGGAGGGAAGATTAGGAGGAACTTTGTCTTGTGGTTTGAGTGCCAGCTTAGCTGCAGTAGAACAGAGAACCAGGCAGATTTCTAAGGTTTTCATCTCCAGTCCCTGGCACCTGGATGGCATCTCTGGACCTGCTTCGCCCTCGGGGAACTCACTGCACTGAAAGGAAGGACAGAAGCCTGGCTGGCCTTGCCACCTGCTGATTGTAGAGTTCTAAGGTCTTGAGTGAACATAGGCAGTAGCCAGGGAGTGGCTGCAGCGGGCACTGGGCAAGACTCAGTGCTGTGTTGGATTCAGGTCTGAGCCAGCACAGTCCCAGTGGTGGTGACCATAGGGGTGATTGTTTCAAGAGGCATCTGAACCAGAGCAGCTCCATCTTAAATAGGGACTGGGTAAAATAAGGCTGAGACCTGCTGGACTACATTCCCAGGAGGTTAGACATTCTAAGTCACAGAATGAGATAGGAGGTCGGCACAAGATATAGGTCATAAAGACTTTGCTGATAAAACTGGTTGCAGTAAAGAAGCCAGCTAAAACCCACCAAAACCAAGAGGGCTACAAGAGTGACCTCTGGTCATCCTCACTGCTACACTCCCATCAGCACCATGACAGTTTACAAATGCCATAGCAATGTCAGGAAGTCACCACATATGGTCTAAAAATGGGAGGCATGAATAATCTACCCCTTGTTTAGCATATCATCAAGAAATAACCATAAAAATGGGCAACCAGCAGCCCTAGGGGCTGCTCTGTCTATGGAGTAGCCACTCTTTATTCCTTTACTTTCTTAATAAACTTACTTTCACTTTGCACTGTGGACTCACCCTGAATTATTTCTTGCACAAGATCCAAGAACTCTCTTGTGGGGTCTGGATTGGGAGCCCTTCCCAGTAACAACTGTGTCACCCCACTCCCAGCTCCAGGCAGCTCAGCACAGAGAGAGAGAGAGAGATCCCATTTGTCTGGAGAAAGCAACAGAAGATAACACAGAGTCTCTGTCTGGTAATCCAGAGAATTCTGGAGTTTATCCAACACCAGCAAGGCAGTACCTCTACAAGTCTTGAAGAACCACAGCGTTACTAGGCTTAGGGTGCTCCCTAATGCAGATATTGCTTAGATCACAACACCCAAGTCCCTTTAAATATTTGGAAATCTTCCCAAAGATGGGTACAAACAAGCCCATACTGCAAAGACTACAATAAATACCTAACTCTTCAGGCCGGGTATGGTGGCTCATGCCTTTAATCCCAGAACTTTGGGAAGCCAAGGCAGGCAGACTGCTTGAGCCCAGGAGTTTGAGGTCAGCCTGGGCAACGTGGCAAAACCCTGTCTCTAAAAAAAAAACAATAATAATAATACAAAAAGTAGCTGGATGTGGTGGTGCATGCCTGTAGTCCCAGCTACTCAAGAGGTTGAGTGGGAGGATCAATTTAGTCAGGGAGGTCATGGCTGCAGTGAGCCATGACTGCACCACTGCACTCCAGCCTGGGCAACAGAATGAGACCCTGTCTCAAAACAAAACAAAACAAAACCTAACTTTTCAACGCCCAGACATCAATAAATATCTACAAATACCAAGACCATCCAGGAAAACATGACCTCACCAAACGAACTAAATAAGGCACCAGAGACAAATCCTGAAGAAACAGAGATACATGACCTTTCAGACAGGTATCTCAAAATAGCTGTTTTGAAGAAACTCAAAGAAATCTAAAATAACAAGGAAAAGGAATTCAGAATTCTATCAGATAAACTGAACAAAAAGATTGAAATGATTTTTAAAAATCAAGCAGAAATTCTGGAGTTGAAGAATACAATGGACATACTGAAGAATGCATCAGAATCTCTTACTAGCAGAATTGATCAAGCAGAGAATTAGTGAGCTTCAAGACAGGCTATTTGAAAAAACACAATCAGAGGAGATAAGAGAAAAGAGAATTTTAAAAAATGAAGCACACCTACAATATCTAGAGAAGGGCTTCAAAGGGTCATATCTAAGAGTTATTGGCCTTGAAGAGGAAGTAGAGAAAGAGACAGAGGTAGAAATTCAAAGGGATAAATAACAGAGAACTTCCCAAACCTAGGAAAAGGTAACAATATTCAAATACAAGAAAGTTACAAAACACCAAGCAGATTTAACCCAAAGAAGACTACCTCAAGGCATTTAATAATCAAATTCCCAAAGGTCAAGGATAAAGAAAAGGCTCCTAAAAGCAGCAAGAGAAAAGAAACAAATAACATACAATAGAGTTCCAATATGTCTAGCAGCAGACTTTTCAGTGGAACTCTTACAGGCCAGGAGAGAGTGGCATGACATATTTAAAGTGCTGAAGGAAAAAAAACTTTTAACCCTAGAATAGCATATCCAGTGAAAATATCCTTTAAACATGAAGGAGAAATAAAGACTTTCCCAGACAAACAAAAGTTGAAGGATTTCATCAACACCAGACCTGTTCTACAAGAAATGCTAAAGAGAGTTCTTAAATTTGAAAGAAAAGGAGGCCGGGCATGGTGGCTCACGCCTGTAATCCCAGCACTTTGGGAGGCCAAGGCAGGCGGATCACCTGGGGTCAGGAGTTTGAGAACAGCCTGGCCAACTTGGTGAAACCCTGTCTCTACTTAAAATACAAAAATTAGCCGGGCGTGGTGGCAAGCACCTGTAATCCCAGCTATTCAGGAAGCTGAGACAGGAGAATTGCTTGAACCCGAGAGGCAGAGGTTGCAGTGAGCCAAGATCGTGCCATTGCACTCCAGCCTGGGGGACAAGAGTGAGACTTTGAGAAGAAAAGAAAGAAAGAAAGAAAGAAAAGGATGTTAATGAGCAATAAGAAATCACCTGAAAGTACAAAACTCACCAGTAATAAGTACACAAAAATCAAAGAATATTATAACACTATAATTGTGTGGTGTAGACTATTCTTATCTTAGGCACAAAGACTAAAAGATGAACCAATAAAAAATAATAACTATGGACCAGGCGTGGTGGCTCATGCCTGTAATCTTAGCACTTTGGGAAGCTGAGGCAGGTGGATCACTCAAGGTCAGGAGTTGGAGACCAACCTGGCCAACATGGTGAAACCCCATCTCTACTAAAAATACAAAAATTAGCTGGGCGTGGTGGCAGGTGCCTGTAATCCCAGCTACTCAGGAGGCTGAGGCAGGAGAATTGCTTGAATCCAGGAGGCAGAGGTTGCAGTGAGCCGAGATCGCGCCATCGCACTCCAGCCTGGATGAAAAGAGTGAAATTCCATTTCACACACACAAAAAAGAACTATGATAACTTTTAAAGAGACAGTAAAATAAGATATAAATAGAAACAATAAGTTAAAAAGCAGGGGGATGACACTGAAGTATAGAGTTTTTATTAGTCTTCTTTATACTTGTTAGTTTGCTTGTTTATGCAATCAATGTTAAGTTGTCACCAGTTTAAAATAATGGGTTATAAGATAGTATTTGCAAGCCTCATGGTAAACTCAAATAAAAAAAATACACAAGAATGGATACACAAGAAACAAAAAGCAAGAAATTAAATCATACCACCTGAGAAAATCTACCTCCACTAAAAGGAAGACAGGAAGGAAAAAAAGAAGGAAGAGAAAACCACAAAACAACCACAAAACAAATAACAAAATGGCAGGAGTAGGTCCTTACTTATCAATAATAACATTGAATGTAAATGAACTAAACTCTTCAATCAGAAGACAGAGAGTGGCTAAATGGATTTAAACAAAACAAAAAAAACAGGCCAGGCACAGTGGCTCACACCTGTAATCCCAGCACTTTTGGGAGGCCAAAGCGGGTGGATCACGAGGTCAGGAGATCGAGACCATTCTGGCTAACATGGTGAAACCCCGTCTCTACTAAAAATACAAAATATTAGCTGGGCGTGGTGGCAGGTGCCTGTAGTCCCAGCTACTTAGTAGGTTGAGGGAAGAGAATGGCATGAACCCAGGAGGTGGAGCTTGCAGCGAGCAGAGATCGCACCACTGCACTCCAGCCTGGGCAACAGAGCGAGAGTCTGTCTCAAAAAACAAACAAACAAACAAACAAACAAACAAAAACCCAGGCCCAGTGATCTACTGCCTACAAGAAACATAATTCACAAAGAGACACATAGACTGAAAATAAAGGGATGAAAAAAGATATTCCATGCTAATGGAACCCCCCCAAAAAAGGAGTAGTTATATGGGACAAAATGGATTTCAAGACAAAAACTATAAGAGACAAGAAGGTCATTACCCTAGAACAGGGAATTATATATTCACCAAGGGAATATAACAATTATAAATACATATGCACCCAACACTGGATCATCCCAATATATAAAGCAAATATTATTAGAGCTAAAACAAGAGACAGACCCCAAAACAATAATAGCTGGAGACTTCAACGCCATACTTTCACCAATGGATAGATCATCCAGACAGAAAATCAATCAAGAAAGATTAGATTTAATCTGCACTATGGACCAAATGGATCTAATAGATATTTACAGAACATTTCATCCAACGGCTATAGAATACACAATCTTCTCTTCAGCACATGGATCATTCTCAAGGATAGATAATATGCTAGGTCACAAAACATGTCTTAAAACGTTCAGAAAACTGAAATAATATCAAGTATTTTCTCTGACCACAATGGAATAAAATTAGAAATCAATAGCAAGGGGAATTTTGGAAGCTATACAAACACGTGTACAATAAACAATATGCTCCTGAATGACCAGTGAGTCAGTGAAGAAATTAGTAAGGACACATACAACCTACCAAGATTGAACCATGAAGAAATTCAAAACTTAAACAGACCAATAACAAGTAACATGATTGAAGCTGTAATAGCCTCCCAGCCAAAGGAAAAAAAAAGCCCAAGACCCAATGGCTTCACTGCTGAATTATACCAAACATTTAAAGAAGAACTAATATCAATCCTACTCGAACTTGTGAAAAATAGAGGATGAGGGAATATTTTCAAACTTATTCTAGAAGGCTGGTATTACCCTGATACCAAAACCAGACAAAGACACATCAAAAAAAGAAATCTACAGGTCAATATCCCTCATGAATATTGATGCAAAAATCCTCAACAAAATGCTAGCAAACCAAATCTAGAACACATTGAAAAGGTCATTCACCATGACCAGGTGGGTTTTTATCCCAAGGAGGGAACCATGGTTTGACATATGCAAATCAATCAATGTGATAATGTGATACATCACATCACCAGAATGAAGAAAAACTGTATCATCATTTCAATGGATGCTGAAAAAGCACTTGATAAAATTCAACATCCTTTCATGATAAAAACTCTCGAAAAACTGGGTATAGAAGAAACTTACCTCAACGTAATAAAAGCCATATACAACAGACCCACAGTTAGTATCATACTGAATGACGAAAAACTGAAAGCCTTTCCTGGATCTGGAACACGACAAGGATGCCCACTTTCACCACTGTTATTTACCATAGTATTGATAGTCCTAACTAGAGCAATCAGACCAGAGAATGAAATAAAGGGCATCCAAACTGGAAAGGAAGAAGTTAAATTTATCCTTGTTTGCAGATGACATGATTTTATATCTGGAAAAGCCTACAGACTCCACCAAAAAACTATTTTTTTTTTTAAATTTTTTTAGTATTTATTGATCATTCTTGGGTGTTTCTCACAGAGGGGGATTTGGCAGGGTCACAGGACAATAGTGGAGAGAGGGTCAGCAGACACGTGAACAAAGGTCTCTGGTTTTCCTAGGCAGAGGTCCCTGCGGCCTTCCGCAGTGTTTGTGTCCCTGGGTACTTGAGATTAGGGAGTGGTGATGACTCTTAACGAGCATGCTGCCTTCAAGCATCTGTTTAACAAAGCACATCTTGCACCGCCCTTAATCCATTTAACCCTGAGTGGACACAGCACATGTTTCAGAGAGCACGGGGTTGGGGGTAAGGTTATAGATTAACAGCATCCCAAGGCAGAAGAATTTTTCTTAGTACAGAACAAAATGGAGTCTCCTATGTCTACTTCTTTCTACACAGACACAGTAACAATCTGATCTCTCTTTCTTTTCCCCACATTTCCCCCTTTTCTATTCAACAAAACCGCCATCGTCATCATGGCCCGTTCTCAATGAGCTGTTGGGTACACCTCCCAGACGGGGTGGCGGCCGGGCAGAGAGGCTCCTCACTTCCCAAACGTGGTGGCCGGGCAGAGGTGCCCCCCACCTCCCAGACGGGGAGGCTGCCGGGCGGGGGCGCCCCCCACCTCCCAGACGGGGCAGCTGCCGGGCGGAGGGGCTCCTCACTTCTCAGATGGGGCAGCCGGACAGAGGCGCTCCTCAGTTCCCAGACGGGGTGGTGGCCGGGCAGAGGCGCTCCTCAGTTCCCAGACGGGGTGGTGGCCGGGCAGAGGCGCTCCTCACCTCCCAGACAGGGTGGCGGCCAGGTAGAGACGCTCCTCACCTCCCAGACGATGGGCAGCCAGGCAGAGACACTCCTCACTTCCTAGACGGGGTGGCGGCCGGGCAGAGGCTGCAATCTTCAGCACTTTGGGAGGCCAAGGCAGGCAGCTGGGAGGTGGAGGTTGTAGAGAGCCTAGATCACGCCACTGCACTCCAGCCTGGGCAACATTGAGCACTGAGTGAGCGAGACTCTGTCTGCAATCCGGGCACCTCGGGAGGCCGAGGCAGGCAGATCACTCAAGGTCAGGAGCCGGAGACCAGCCCGGCCAACACAGCGAAACCCCATCTCCACCAAAAAATACAAAAACCAGTCAGGCGTGGCGGCGCGCGCCTGCAATCCCAGGCACTCGGCAGGCTGAGGCAGGAGAATCAGGCAGGGAGGTTGCAGTGAGCCGAGATCGTGTCAGTACAGTCCAGCCTCGGTAACAGAGGGAGACCGCGGAGAGCGGCAGACAGAGACTATGGAGAGGGAGATGGAGAGGGAGAGCCAAAAAACTATTAAACCTGATAAATTTCATAAAGTTGCAGAGTACAAAATCAACATACAAAAATCAGTAGCATTTGTCTATGCCAACAGTGAACAATCTGAAAAAATAAAAAAGTAATCCCATTTACAATAGCCACAGATAAAATATCTAGGAATTAACCAAAGGAGTGAAAGATTCCTGCAATGAAAACTATAAATCATAGATGCAAGAAGCGGACACCAAAAAAGGAAATATATTCCATGTTCATCGATTAGAAGAATCAATATTGTTAAAATGTCCATACTTACCAAAGCAATCTACAGATTCCATGCAATCCCTATCAAAATGCCAATGACATTCTTCACAGAAATAGAAAAAACAAATCCTAAAATTTATATGGAACCACAAAAGACCTAGATTAGCCAAAACTATCCTAAGCAAAAAGAACAAAACTGGAGAAATCACATTACCTGAGTTCAAATTATACTACAGAGCTATCATAACCAAAACAGCCTAGTACTGGCATAAAAAGACACATAGACCAATGGAACAGAATAGAGAACCCAGAAACAAATCCACACACAGTGAGCTCACTTTCAACAAAGGTGCCAAGAACACATGCTAGGGAAAAGACAGTTTCTTCAATAAATGGTGCCAGGGAAACTGGATATTTATATGCAGAAGAATGAAACTAAACCCCTATTTCTTGCTGTTTACAGAAGTCAAATAAAAATGGATTAAAGACTTAAATTTAAGACCTGAAACTACAAAACTACTACAAGAAAACATTGGGGAAACTCTCACTGGAGCAGGCAAAGATTTCTTGAGTAATATCCCACAAGCACAGGCAACCAAAGCAAAAATGGACAAATGGACTCACATCAAGTTAAAAATCTTCTGCACAGCAAAGAAAATAATCAACAAAGTGAAGAGTCAACCCACAGAGTGGCAGAAAATATCTGTAAACTACCCATCTGACAAGGGATTAATAACCAGAATATATTAAGGACTCAAACAACTCTATGAGAAAAAAATCAAATCATCAAATTAAAAAATGGGCAAAAGATCTGAATAGACATTTCTCAAAAAATACATACAAATGGCAAATGTCCATCAACATCAATCATCAGAGAAATGCAAATCAAAACTACAATGAGATATCATCTCAGCCTAGTTAAAATGGCTTATATTCAAAAGGCAATAACAAACGTTGGTGAAGATGTGGAGAGAGGGAGCCCTTATACATTGTTGGCAGGAATGTAAATTAATACAACCACTAAGGAGAACAGTTTGGAGGTTCCTCAGAAAACTAAAAATAAAGCTAGCATATGATCCAGCAACCCCACTGCTGGGTCTATACCCAAAAGAAAGGAAATAAGAATATCAAAGAGATATCTGCACTCCCATGTTTACTGCAGCACTGTTCACAATAGCCAAGATTTGGAAGCTACCTAAGTGTCCATCAACAGATGAATAAAGAAAGTGTGGTATATATACACAGCAGAACACTATTCAGCCATTAAAAAAAGAATGAGATCTCGTCATTTGCAACATGAATAGAAATGGAGATTATGTTAAGTGAAATAAGCCAGGCACAGACAGACAAACTTTGCATGTTATCATATTCGTGGGAGCTAAAACTTAAAACAATTGAACTCATGGAGAGAGAAAGTAGAAGGATGGTTACCAGAGGCTGGGAGGGGTAACAGGGGTAGGGAAGGGAGTGTGAATGGTTAACAGGTACCCCCCCAAAAAGTTAGAAAGAATAAGACCTAGTATTTGATAGCACAACAGGGTGACTATAGTAAATAATAATTTAAAAGAGTATAACTGGGTTGTTTATAACACAAAGAATCAATGCTTGAGGGGATGGATACCCCATTTACTCTGATGTGATTATTACACACTGCATGCCTGTATCAAAATATCTCATGTACCCCATAAATATATACACCTACTATTTACCCACAAAAATTGAGAGAATACTTTTTTTTAAAAAAAGATACAATAGGCCGGGTGCGGTAGCTCACGCCTGTAATCCCAACACTTTGGGAAGCCAAGACAGATGGATCACAAGGTCAAGAGATCAAGATCATCCTGACCAATATGGTGAAATCCTGTCTCCTCTAAAAATACAAAAATTAGCTGGGCTTGGTGGTGGGCACTTGTAGTCCTAGCCATTCGGGAGGCTATGGCAGGACAATCGCTTGAACCCAGGAGGCAGAGGTTGCAGTGAGCTGAGATTATGCCACTGTACTCCTGCCTGGTGACAGGACGAGACTTAGTCTCAGAAGGAAAAAAATATATATATATAATAAAAATACGTGTCAAAAACTCAAGTCGCCCCATAGAGAGCTGGAGGCCTCTCAATTCTAGCCCAACCTAACTAAATCTTGTTCTCAAAGCTAAGTTTAGGAACCAGGGTTTTTCTCAGTTCCCTGTCAGGCCTATTCCTACCACCAGCTGACAGAAACCCAGGAATATCCAATTACCTAAAGCAATGTTTCATTCCCAAAGAGCTAACCCCATTTAGGTCAGTGTGGGCTCCTCAGAGCATCAGATGGGTGACTGTGTTGGACTGATCCTTAAAATGGCTTTTAACCTATGGTCTACCATTTTACTGTAATAAAATAGAAAAGCAGAAAGTGGAAAGTTAGCATACTCATGGCATCTGAATGAGAAATGGGATTTTTACAGGCATTAAGGACTAGTAAGAGAAGGAAAATCTCCATCCTAGGCTCATAGACTCTAGGTTACCTACTTCTATCTGTTGGGGAATCATTTTTCAGATGAGGGCTACATGGCCCAAAAAGAAACGAAGTACAGGTAGTGGCAGAACTAAAACTAGAAGCACAGGTAGTGGCAGAACTAAAACAGGTAGTACAGGTAGTGGCAGAACTAAAACTAGAAGCAAGATCTCTTGAATCACATTAAAGTGCCATTGCCATTTAATCATTAAAAACCTATATTTCCAACAGTGGAAATGGGTTGTTCATCACAGCCTAGATAATACATCCCTTAAATCCTGGTCCAACAAACAGTTTTCTGATTGATTTGCATCTCCAAGATACCTCAATATTAGGAAAGCACTATCTTGCGTACAACATACAACACTTCAGACTCTAAATATCAACATGGGGTGCGGTGGCTCATGCCTGTAATCCCAGCACTTTGAGAGGCTGAGGTGAGCGGACTGCTTGAGGTCAGGAGTCTGAGACCAGCCTGACCAACATGGTGAAACCCTATCTCTACTAAAAATACAGAAAATTAGCTGGCTATGGTGGTAGGCGCCTGTAATCCCAGCTACTTGGGAGGCTGAGGCAGGAGAATTGCTTGAACCTGGGAGGTAGAGGTTGCAGTGAGCCAAGATTGTGCCACTGTTCCAGCCTGGGCGACAGAGCGAGATTCTGTCTTAAAAAAATAAATAAATAAATATTAACATGATTTTAATAAAAGGTATACGTTTGGCCAGCACAGCCTAGTTTTCTCTAGGGCCAGACTACCCAAGGGAACTTACAAAACCAAGATTCTGAATCCTCAAGATCACTCACAGGATCCAGCAAAAAACATTCAAAAAGCAGAGCTACCTCCAAGGACCTTCTAGACAGACTTCCCTCAACACTACTGAAGTATAAAGGCCTCAGATACTCTAAAACCACATACTTTGGAGCTGAAAAAAATTTAGATTCAGAAAAAAGAGTAAAGGTTGCAAAGTTGTTTCCTGTCGTTTCGGTGGTCTTCATAACTCCCAAGATGTTTTCAATCGCATAAGACACACAGCCAAAGGAGGCTGAAGAGGAGGATCAAACAAAGCTGGGAGGGGTGGGATGGGGCTTTAAATGGAAACTATGCAAAACAAGTTTCACCTGATTTGATATTCAAACCTAAGCAAAGCTCAACACTTGATTAAGTAAGGCTTCAACTTAACCTGTTGAAGGTTAACACTGTAACCCACGATATTCAATTCTGTTCTTGGACGACAGAGCTTAATTAAATATCCATTGTTGAGAAGACCTTCTCTACTTTCACCTTTTTTCCCCAGATGAAGTGAAAGGTTTTTAAAAATATATTAAATGTCAAGGACATTCAACACTTTTTCATCCAAAAGTCAAAATTTAAGCATCCTTCATAAATGATTAATGCCTAGCCTATTTATTCTGACAACATTTGGCTGATAGAGAATAGCTAATTTACTGTATTCAGAACAGCTGAATATATATTGGTCTATGGATATATTTTCACAATTATTTCTTTGTTACCAATTTAGAGAAAATAAAATTAACCATTTGACTATGGAAAGAACAACTGCATATATGTATTTTAAAAGGAAACGAACTCAATAAGAAGTCTCAGCTTGATGTTCTCGGACAAATCCTTTGTAACCAGGCCTCACCAGCAATAAGAAAAATCAAGGGCCCAGATCATAATTGAAAGAGAATTTGGGAAGCTTTGAAATCCAGCTCTCCCTCTCCCTCTCCCTCTCCCGTCTCCCCACCGTCTCCCTCTCCCTCTGTTTCCACGGTCTCCCTCTCATGCCCAGCCGAAGCTGGACTGTACTGCTGCCATCTCGGCTCACTGCAACCTCCCTGCCTGATTCTCCTGCCTCAGCCTGCCGAGTGCCTGCGATTGCAGGCACGCGCTGCCACGCCTGACTGGTTTTCGTATTTTTTTTGGTGGAGACGGGGTTTCGCTGTGTTGGCCTGGCCGGTCTTCAGCTCCTAACCGCGAGTGATCCGCCAGCCTCGGCCTCCCAAGGTGCCGGGATTGCAGACGGAGTCTCGTTCACTCAGTGCTCAATGGTGCCCCGGCTGGAGTGCAGTGGCATGATCTCGGCTCGCTACAACCTCCACCTCCCAGCCGCCTGCCTTGGCCTCCCAAAGTGCCGAGATTGCATCCTCTGCCCGGCCGCCACCCCGTCTGGGAAGTGAGGAGCGTCTCTGCCTGGCTGCCCATCGTCTGGGATGTGAGGAGCCCCTCTGCCTGGCTGCCCAGTCTGGGAAGTGAGGAGCGTCTCCGTCCGGCCGCCATCCCATCTAGGAAGTGAGGAGCACCTCTTCCCGGCCGCCATCCCATCTAGGAAGTGAAGAGCGTCTCTGCCCGGCCGCCCATCGTCTGAGATGTGGGGAGCGCCTCTGCCCCGCCGCCCCATCTGGGATGTGAGGAGCGCCTCTGCCCGGCCGCGACCCCGTCTGGGAGGTGAGGAGCGTCTCTGCCCAGCCACCCCGTCTGAGAAGTGAGGAGATCCTCTGCCTGGCAACCGCCCCGTCTGAGAAGTGAGGAGCCCCTCTGCCCAGCAGCTGCCCCGTCTGAGAAGTGAGGAGCCTCTCCGCCCGGCAGCCACCCCGTCCGGGAGGGAGGTGGGGGGGTCAGCCCCCCGCCCGGCCAGCCGCCCCGTCCAGGAGGGAGGTGGGGGGTCAGCCCCCCGCCCGGCCAGCCGCCCGGTCTGGGAGGGAGGTGGGGGAGTCAGCCCCCCGCCCGGCCAGCTGCCCCATCCGGGAGGTGAGGGGCGCCTCTGCCCGGCCGCCCCTACTGGGAAGTGAGGAGCCCCTCTGCCCGGCCAGCCGCCCCGTCCGGGAGGGAGGTGGGGGGGTCAGCCCCCCGCCCGGCCAGCCGCCCCGTCCGGGAGGGAGGTGGGGGGGTCAGCCCCCCGCCCGGCCAGCCGCCCCGTCCGGGAGGGAGGTGGGGGGGTCAGCCCCCCGCCCGGCCAGCCGCCCCGTCCGGGAGGGAGGTGGGGGGGTCAGCCCCCCGCCCGGCCAGCCGCCCCGTCTGGGAGGTGAGGGGCACCTCTGCCCGGCCGCCCCTACTGGGAAGTGAGGAGCCCCTCTGCCCGGCCACCACCCTGTCTGGGAGGTGTGCCCAACAGCTCATTGAGAACGGGCCAGGATGACAATCGCAGCTTTGTGGAATAGAAAGGGGGGAAAGGTGGGGAAAAGATTGAGAAATCGGATGGTTGCCGTGTCTGTGTAGAAAGAAGTAGACATGGGAGACTTTTCATTTTGTTCTGTACTAAGAAAAATTCTTCTGCCTTGGGATCCTGTTGATCTGTGACCTTACCCCCAACCCTGTGCTCTCTGAAACATGTGCTGTGTCCACTCAGGGTTAAATGGATTAAGGGCGGTGCAAGATGTGCTTTGTTAAACAGACGCTTGAAGGCAGCATGCTTGTTAAGAGTCGTCACCACTCCCTAATCTCAAGTACCCAGGGACACAAACACTGCGGAAGGCCGCAGGGTCCTCTGCCTAGGAAAACCAGAGACCTTTGTTCACTTGTTTATCTGCTGACCTTCCCTCCACTATTGTCCTATGACCCTGCCAAATCCCCCTCTGTGAGAAACACCCAAGAATGATCAATAAAAAATAAATTAAAAAAAAAAAAAAGAAGTTTAAGAAGACCTAAATAAAGACATCTGTGTCTTTTCCTAAGGCTTTGTGAGGCACCGAGTCAAGGGAAGAGAGGAAGTGCTAAATCTCACCAGACACTAGAGAGTGATATGGGGATGCACCGTCATGGTCCTCCCTGCTTTGCCATGCTGATGATAATGAGAAGGGACTGTGGATGGCAACTGCAGTTCCACATTGAGATCATCAACTCCTAAGGGCTGGCAAGAAGGGCACTGTGTCTACTGTCCCTATTAAAGGTCTAACCTGGTCTGGTGTGTCTCATGGGCTCCCCCAGCTAATGGGATTCTTGAGACTTGGACCTTGCTGCCTCCTCTTCTCCCTGAGAAAGAATTTCAGTGAGGTTTGCCCCCTGTGTCCAAGGACCCTGTTTTGGACTGACAATGGCCATAGGAAGCCCCAGTCTGCTCTGATATATGACAGAGCCAGAAATCCCAGTTCCCATCCCCAGCCTTATTTTCTTCTCACCGGGGGATCTGGGAGGCAGTTGGGCTCCATCTTCCTGAAGATTCTGGGCACCTCTGCACATATGGATGGACTATTGGGCCCTGCTCTGTCAACCTAGAATCAAGGTCGGCTGGGGTTTGGGATGCCTCAGTTTCCTCTTTGGCAAGCACCTAGATGGAAAGGCAATATTTGGCTGATTCTCCTGGGAGCAATGTAGTGCAGCCCCAGGTGAAGGATAAGAGGCTGGCCTTACTGGTAGGTGGGGCTGGGGCTAGGCATGCTAATGATTAGGTGGTGACCCTAAGGACTAGTGGAAAACAGAAGTTTACAGAAGTTCATCTTTTCTCTACAATTTCCTCACTAGAACTCGTCTCCCCAAGGGCCAGGTGACAAACAGGGCTCCCTCTGATATTACCCCCACCCCTACTCTTATCTCAATTATTGGTGATTTTATCATTGGTCAAGATGACCCTACAATCTCCTCCATTCTAACCTCAAATAAACCTTTTCTGCTCTTCTCCTCAGCTATTCACTCCCACAGTCATACCAAAACAATGCTATTCTATGGAACTTCTGTGATGATGGAAATCTCTCTCTATGCTGTCCAATATAGTAGCCACTAGCCACATATAGTTGTGGTGCACCTGAAATGTGCCTAGTGCAACTGAGGAGTTGAATTTTTTATTTTATTTAATTTAAATTTAAATAATCATTGGACAATGATGCTCTAGACCTCATCATCACCATAATTGTACTATTGCTCAAATTGCTTTTTCTAATTTTCCATTCTTTGATTACTTTCTTCTTTCAGTTCACCTTTTCAATAACCCCAATATTTCTTCAGATATGATAAGGTCTTCCAGTTTATTGACGCTATCATTTTTTTACAGCCACCACCCCTGACATGCTCTTGCATGTTTCTTTACCTAGTGCAGATTCCGTGGTTAATTATCATCTCTCCCCTGCACTACCTCACTCCCTTGGCCCACTTTCTTTCTGCAAACATGTATGAGATGAAGGCAACCGTCTCCCTGTTCCATGCCTACAGAATAAGGGAACATGGCTGGGACAAAACCAACAACCATGAGGCATGGTCTTCATTTATATTCATGACCACATATATCAACTGGACTAATTTCCCAATGAATTTATTTAGTATGTTTGCATTTATATTTTCCGAGTTGAATAATTTACACCACCTCCTCTCCAAATGTTTGTTATTTCGGTTGGAATAAATGGTGTCAGAAATGAAACCTGAAAAAGAACACTATTGGAAGGGATTGGCAATTCTTGGAACTGGTGTGCAGGACCCACTAGAGCCCTTTGAGCTCTCTGCTTCCAAGGCTTGCCTGTTCTTCCCTGGTGAGTCTTCTCTCTGGCTGAGCCTCTCTCTTTTTGGTATTTGATATTATTTGGGATCTGGTTTGGATCACGCAACCTTAATAAAGACCATACATCTCTCCTTAAAAAAAAAAAAAGAAAGAGAATTTTTCCGGAGGCCTCTCCCTTCCATCCTCACTTCAGGCTGAGCTACTCTGTCTTCTTGAGGCTTTCTCTCCAGGGATTATTGAGGGGGCTGCCTTTCCCTCCTTTTTTTTTTGAGACAAGTCTCATTCTGTCACCCAGGCTGGAGTGCAGTGGCGCAATCTTGGCTCACTGCAACCTCCGCCTCCCGGGTTCAAGTGATTCTTCTGCCTCAGCCTCCTGAGTAGCTGGGACTACAACAGGCATGCGCCACCACACCCGGCTAACTTTTGTATTTTTAGTAGAGACGGGGTTTCACCATATTGGCCAGGCTGGTCCTCCCTGTTTTTAATACCAGTGTCTAGTAATATGACAGTGGGCTTCATTGTGCCCTTCACAGTTCTCTTGAAAAGCTTTGGAAATCTGAGGCTAGCAGGCCACTAGGCCTATTATGACATTCCTGAATAACATATGCAAACTGGACCCCACTGTAACCCTCACAACAAAACTACACTTTTTGACAGCCTTCACAGAATCTATGAAGCAATTTTTTAGACAGATATTTACTGAATGCCCAATATCCACGTAGACTGTATTCCATGCTAAATACTCTGTTTTAGAAATTCTCAAGGATCTGCTGAATTTGAAAGAGAAGTGACAGGCTAGTAGGCAGCAGGCATGGAAGCATTGAGCTATACCAGAACTAAGGCTATACCTCTTCCCACAGGCTTTTCTTCTCTAGTGAGACTGAGTAACCCTTTGCCAATAATTCATGTCAAGGAACAAGTCAAGGTGACAAGTACTTCTAGAGTGCTAACATTACCCTTGGACTGACTGGACTATATAGCATCCGAAAGGCACAGAGGCAGCACTAGGAAAATTTACACAGACTTAAATTCTGCCCATTGACTTCATATCTATGATATGATGCCTGGGAGAAATTGAGCTAAATGATCTGGAAAAAATGTATTATATTTTATTACTAAAGATGATGAAATAAAGTAAAAATCAAAATAGCTGAAACTTCTAATGCGACATAATTAGCTTGCTTTTATGACTAGATCCAAAGTGGGAGATGTAAGGGTATGTTGCATTGGCAATGTTAAGATAATCAGGTTTTCTTAATTATAGAGCTGCTTTTCAAGTAAGTCTTTTCCTTCTTTCTGAGTAAGAATATTCACTTGGTGTTCTAAACAAATTTCACTAAAAATATTCATTTCATATTTTGGGCACTTTACCTGTGGATCATCATACATGCAGATACAGAAAGGAATGGACACACTTTTCAGAAGGCCCAGCGTGATCTCAGATAATCATCCAGTCTCTGAATCACTCTGTCTTAGACATGCTTGAAAAAGGCAACAGGGCTGCATCAAGTGGGGCTTAAAGTTCCAGTAGGTGCTTTCCCCAACTCCATGGGAAAACTGGAAATAACTGACATTGGGTATCTTTTCCCAAGGTTACTTTACAACCAAAGACTGGACTATACTGTTTCTTATTATCCGAGTGATTCCCTATAGACTCATCCAATCTTTAGGGAGAACTCTTTTTTAAATTACGTAAAAAGGTATTGATTGACACGAAATAAGATTCCTGATATACCTTTGGGTATCATCCTAACTGCCCCTTTTCACTACATCCCATCCCTGCTAACACACGAGAAAGATGCACGCATTTATATTTGTACACACACAGAGCCAACTTGCTCTAGCCTTGAAGTGAGCATTGGAATTTTCAGCACTGAAAGAAGCATTTGTCTGTTATCTAGAAATAACTGAAGAAAAAATTAAATCATGAGTGGTGTCTCCCAAGTAAATGCGTAAAAAGGAATTTATAACAGAACATACCTTAAACATGTTTTTTTCTGAGTCTGTTACTCTCAAAATATCTGTGTGTATATTAGAGCTTTCAAATTCTCTCCATGGCTAAGAGAAAGCATGAGAGAACTTGCTGGTGTGATGGAAATGTTTTATATCTTTATAGAAGTATGAGTTAATAGGTCTGTGTATTGTCAAAACTCCTGAAAGTGTGCACATAGGATACATGTATTTCATTTAAAATTTTATTTTAAAAAGAACTATAAACAAGTATGGAACTAGAGTAGATTTACTTTTTGCAGTGGTATGGAATAACAGTTTAAAACTACTACTTTCTGTGTATTCTAGGCTGGAGTAAATGATTAAATATAGTGAAATAATGGCTGACAGGTTCCTCCTGTTAGATAATCAGTTACAGAAATGTGGAAGATGAGAACATAACCTTAAGTGTGGCACTGGAGTTGTTGGTTTCAAACATGAACTTGTGGCATGTTTGTGTTACATAAAAATATCTACAGGTGTTATAAAACATACATAAATATATATACATATAATTTTTTTTTTTTTGAGACAGAGTCTCGTTCTGTCACCCAGGCTGGAATGCAGTGGCATGATCTCAGCTCACTGCAACCTCCACCTCCCGGGTTCAAGCAATTCTCCTGCCTCAGCCTCCCGAGTAGCTGGGATTGCAGGTACACGCCACCATACCCGGCTAATTTTTGTATTTTTAGTAGAGATGGGGTTTCGCCATATTGGCCAGGCTGGTCTCGAACTCCTGACTTCAAGTGATCCACCCACCTCGGCCTCCTTTCAAAGTGCTGGGATTACAGGCGTGAGTCACCATGCCCAGCTGCATTTTTATTAAAGGAGGAAATTCAGCAAATAAAGTATAGTTCTTGGAAATTAAAGAATTAAAACAGCAGAAAGAGAAACCTCAAAAGAACATTTAAAAGATCAAGTTAAGAAAATACTCGAGAGGCTGGGCGTCGTGGCTCACGCCTGTAATCCTAGCACTTAGGGTGGCTGAGGCAGGTGGATCACCTGAGGTCAGGAGTTCAAGACCAGCCTGGCCAACACAGCAAAACCCCATATCTACTAAAAAATACAAAAATTAGCCAGGTGTGGTGGCGCATGCCTGTAATCCCAGCTACTTGGGAGGCTGAGGCAGGAGAATTGCTTGAACCTGGGAGGTGGGGGTTGCAGTGAGCTGAAATCAGGCCACTGCACTCCAGTCTGGGTGACAGAGCCAGACTCCATTTCAAAAAACAAACAAACAAACAATGGGACTTAAAATACGATGGAGAAACAACTCAAAAATTCTCTCTCTAGTTATTGATGTAGTCAATGCAACTAAACTACCCACTGTTGTCTTTGAAAAATGTATACCACTCATATATATACTTCCCCCTCCCCCAAGTCTACTGAAAGAGGTCTTCTACCAAATTGAGTGACTGAACCAACAAAGTCTACACAACAGAATTTAACATGAGAGGCCTGGAGTGGTGGCTCACGCCTGTAATCCCAGGACTTTGGGAGGCCAAGGAGGGCAGATCACCTGAGGCCAGGAGTTTAAGACCAGCCTGGCCAATATGGTGAAACCCTGTTTCTACTAAAAATACAAAAATTAGCCAGGCGTGGTAGCGCACACCTGTAGTCCCAGCTACTCGGGAGGCTGAGTCATGAGAATCACTTGCACCTGGCAGGTGGAGGTTGCAGTGAGCTGAGATCGCACCACTGCACTCCAGCCTGGGCAACAGAGTGAGACTGTCTCAAAGGAAAAAAAAAAAAAAAGAATTTTAACATTTAACATGAGAGAGGACGATGGTGAAAAGGAGAGAACAAAGTGGCAGCTGTGCAGTAGACAGGAAAGGCATGTCAGAAGGCTTCAGGGAAGATTTCTTTAAGATAAAACTGAAAGAATTTCCAACGAGTTTCAATGTATTGAGAGGAGATTTACACAGCTGAAGGAACATTTGAGATTTTGAGATTGAATTACTAAGTGGTATGAAGAGAAACTAATTGCAAATGTGGGTGCATGCATACCAACAATTTTTAACTTCTGACAAGACATGATTACCTTGTGTAGAAAAGACAAGGTAATCATGGTTTTCTACATGTCTCACCAGTGAATAGCCTTTATGTAGTCACAACAAAATAAACCCTGAATACTAAGCTAAGATTATGATAACACTTTATAGAGAGAAAGGGGAGACAAGCATGGGGCAGGAGTGAAAAGAGCTAAATCCTCATCTTCTATAGAGGTCAACAGAAAATGCCTAAAACTGAAATATCAAGTGACAGCAACAGAAGCGTTATCATTCAGAGCCATGAAGGTAAGTAAAACTTACCAGCTAACAGTAGTAAGTGATTGCTTTTAAGGAGTGCATGGAAGTCCGCTGTTTTTCATAGCAATTTATACAACTATTTGACTTGTAATGTATGCACATATAAACCTGATAATAAAAACTAAATTTTAAAAACTCAATTTTTTTAACTCCTTTTACATGGGCTTTCCAATTATTAATAAAAAGAAGCTCAATTTTTAAAATCCCATAAAACAGCTAGATAACACACGGAAATGGCATTGGATTTAGTTTTCACTATTCTCATCAGTGTTTCAAAACTGGAGTAGAAAGTATTTAAACTATAAGCAAAGAAAAGCAAAAGGGTAAGCCAATTATAGAGCAATGACAATTGTAAACACCATACTGATCATGAAATACTTCCAAATATATCCCAGTTTTACACAAAATTGGCAAAGAAATTGAGGATTATAGGGTTATTACTTACTCTTAGAATTAAAAAATTAACGATTATTTCTAGCATAATTCTAATGGCCTTAAAAAAGTCAACTTTTAAGAATATGCCTTTCTCACAAAATAACAAAAATGAAACAGATAATTGATATGAATTTGTCTTAATTGAAGAATATTCCTCCCTAGTTAAAAAAAGGAACAACGTAGAGAGCTTACCACTAGACAAATTGGTTGATGGTAATTTTTTGGATCTGTATCAACTAGAGGAAAGAAACACAAGATGTTCCTAGCATTCTTATCTAAGATATGATAAGGCAGTTCTAAATAAAAGCCATGTCTGATAAAGAAGTGTGAGGATTCCTGCATGGTCAGGCAGACGGACAAAAGTCAGTCAGGTGAATAGTATGCACGGAGCACCCACTCTGTGCCAGGCAACCTGCCACCCCCTGAGGATACAACAGTAAACAGGATGTAATCCCTCCTCTCATAGATCCTACTGGTCAGATCTAAAAGGAAGGAGAGAGAGAGAAAAAACCATCACCAGAAATATGCTGATTTCAGTAAGCTGCCATTAAAGCTTAACCAGGAATTTGTGTGAACACTACTGAAGGGACTCAATTCAATAAAACAATCTGTCTCTGTGTCTCCGTTTCCACATCCCAGCACGGAGGATGGCAAGTAAAACGAATGTTATTTATAGGATTCTGCCCAAGATCCCTAAACCTAAGGGCTTTCTCTACTGCTCTAAAGTAAGTGGGTGAAGGCTGAAGTATCCAGCACAGGATTCATGTTTGCAGAGAGACGGGAAGCACTTCCTGGGTTAGAGTAAACCAAGTTTTCAGTAAACTCCCTGGAAAGTTATTCCTAGAGGGGAGACAAATGCCAGAGTGTAGATGATGAGCTAAACCAAGCAGTCAAACTAGTTCTGCCTTGCCTTCTGGCAATCAGGGTTCTCTGGGAACATCCACCCTACTCATTCACACAAGGAGGAACTACTGGGCCGGGCATGGTCTGCACCTTGAGGCAAAAGAACTGAGTAAAGACCTTATACTTCAGGTTCTACCTTACAAAGAAATCTGTAAAGACACCAGTAGCTCTCACTTGGAGGACCATCAGAAGGATGCCAACATAGTTACACAAAAATAATTTCAAAAAGCACAATATATTCAATGCTGCCCTGTGTTAATTATGGTTACCTTAATGACTTCTGTTAGGACAAGTCCCTTCTCATTATTTTTTTTTCAGAATTTTCTAGACTGTTCTATCCTTTTACCAATGAATTTCAAAAATGGTTTACCAGGTTGTATGAAAAATTCTATTACACTTCCTTTTTATCAATCATTCTTTATATCCAATTTAGTCCCCACAAAAATATGGATTTACTAGAACTGAAAACAAAAGCCAAGATTTGATGGTGTAGACTAAGCTATCAGAGTGAAGCATAAAACTTGGCCCTTGTCTTCTTGATACACATGACAGGGAAAAAGGTCAGGCTGACTTATTTATATTCATTATCTAAAAGAAAGATGTCAGTTTTTCAGGAGAGAAATTTTTGCTGATACTGAACTAAGAAATGTAACCCTTCATAAGAGATAAAATAGCAGATGGAATCTTCAATTTGGTGGGGGTGAGAGTGGCAGCAAAACAAAATTTTTTTTCAAATGATATTAGCCATTTCCAATATCAAACTTTGCTAAAAGCTGACAGTTTTAGCATCAGAATGCAAACATCAAAATCTCCACAGGAAACACTGAAATGTCAGATTAGCTGGCACAGAGTAAGATGCAACTGAATTCAGTGACTCAAATACCGAGCTCATTCTCACTGCAGTCACACAGCAATTTCTCGGCTGCTGCCCAAGGACACAGAATGAGTTACCTGACAATTTGCATCACCACCGCAAAATGAGAAACACATCCATTGGTTGCAAAATTTCACTCTCACTTCAGCGTGTCATTCTTTAGCATGAATATTTTTAAACAATGATAAATAGATGGCACATTGTTAAAGATATATTCTTGTCAGTTCAGCCACAATCCTACCTTGCCCTTCAGTTAGGACACTAATGTGAAGAGGCCATCATAAAATTTTAATGTGGCTTCTACAGTTGTGAAGATAAAGGCTACTGCAAAACTAAGTAGTTACAACTAACTCCTTAAAAGAGAAACAAATGAATCTTTTCAGCACTGTCCATTAGATACTTAACGCAACACTTTAAGGTTTCTGTATTTTAAATTATATTATAGCTACTAACCACTTAGAATTTTGCTTCTAATTATTTCAAATCTATGAAATAGCTATCAAGTTTTCATTTCGACTGTTATTTTTTCAGTGCATTAAGACAGCCCAATTATTACTTACAACATCTGAGAAAAGACTTTTGAATTAATTTACAAAGCTTCCAGGATAGGCCTATATCTCTTATTTTTATGAGTCTATTTCTTAGAAAAAGTTAAGGTTTTGATCTCAATACTTATGCAACACTTAAAACAGTTTTATAAATGTTACTTTATGATTGTTTCTTACTAAAATCTAGAACCTTTTTTTAAAGATAATATTCTGATTTCCTATAAACTTGTTTCAAACCTGTAAAAGTAATTTTTTAAAAAAAGTTTTTTGGATTTCCGTTCCAAGATGGACGAATAGGAACAGCTCCAGTCTGCAGCTCCCAGCGTGATTGACGCAGAAGACGGGTGATTTCTGCATTTCCAACTGAGGTACCTGGCTCATCTCATTGGGACTGGTTGGACAGTGGGTACAGCCCATGGAGGCCAAGCCGAATCAGGGCAGGGCATCGCCTCACCCGGGAAGCACAAGGGGTCAGGGGATTTCCCTTTCCTAGTCAACGGAAGCCGTGACAGACGGTACCCAGAAAAACGGGACACTCTCGCCCAAATACTGCACTTTTCCAACAGTCTTAGCAAATGGCACACCAGGAGATTATATCCTGTGCCTGGCTCAGTGGGTCCCACGCCCATGGAGCCTTGCTCACTGCTAGCGCAGCAGTCTGAGATCGACTTATGAGGCAGCAGCCTGGCAGGGGGAGGGGCATCCGCCATTGCTGAGGCTTGAGTAGGTAAACAAAGCAGCCCAGGAATCTCAAACTGGGCAGAGCCCACCGCAGCTCAGCAAGGCCTGCTGCCTCTGTAGACTCCACCTCTGGGAACAGGGCATAGCTGAATAAAAGGCATCAGAAACTCTGCAGACTTAAACGTCCCTCTCTGACAGCTCTGAAGAGAGCAGTAGTTCTCCCAGCACGGTGTTTGAGCTGGGAGAAAGGACAGACTGCCTCCTCAAGTGGGTCCCTGACCTCCGTGTAGCCTAACTGGGAGACACCTCCCAGTAGGGGCCGACTGACACCTCATATAGGCAGCTGCCCTTCTGGGGCAAAGCTTCCAGAGGAAGGATCAGGCAGCAATATTTGCTGTTCTGCAGCCTCTGCTAGTGATACCCAGGCAAACAGGGTCTGGAGTGGACCTCCAGCAAACTCCAACAGACCTGCAGCTGAGGGACCTGACTGTTAGAAGGAAAACTAACAAACAGAAAGGAATAGCATCAACATCAACAAAAAGGACATCCACACCAAAACCCCATCTGTAGGTCACCAACATCAAAGACCAAACGTAAATAAAACCACAAAGATGGGGAGAAACCAGAGCAGAAAAGCTGAAAATTCTAAAAATCAGAGCACCTCTGCTCTTCCAAAGGATCACACGCCTCACCAGCAACAGAACAAAGCTGGACGGAGAATGACTTTGAGAAGCTGACAGAAGTAGGCTTCAGAAGGTCAGTAATAACAAACTACTCCGAGCTAAAGAAGGATGTTCGAACCCATCGCAAGGAAGCTAAAAACCTTGAAAAAAGATTAGACAAATGGCCAACTAGAATAAACAGTGTAGAGAAGACCTTAAATGACCTGATGGAACTGAAAACCATGGCACGAGAACCATGTGACACACACACAAGCTTCAATAGCCAATTCGATCAAGTGGAAGCAAGGGTATCAGTGATTGAAGATCAAATTAATGAAATAAAACAAGAAGAGACGTTTAGAGAAAAAAGTGTAAAAAGAAATAAACAAAGCCTCCAAGAAATATGGGACTATGGTAAAAGACCAAATCTACGTCTGATTGGTGTACCTGAAAGTGACAGGGAGAATGGAACCAAGTTGGAAAACGAAAACACTCTTTAGGATATTATCCAGGAGAACTTCCCCAACCTAGCAAGGCAGGACAACATTCAAATTCAGGAAACACAGAGAATGCCACAAAGATACTCCTCAAGAAGAGCAACCCCAAGACACATAATTGTCAGACTCACCAATGTTGAAATGAAAGAAAAAATGTTAAGGGCAGCCAGAAAGGTCAGGTTACCCACAAAGGGAAGCCCATCAGACTAACAGCCGATCTCTCGGCAGAAACTCTACAAGCCAGAAAACAGTGGGGGCCAATATTCAACATTCTTAAAGAAAAGAATTTTGAACCCAGAATTTCATATCCAGCCAAACTAAGCTTCATAAGTGAAGGAAAAATAAAATCCTTTACACACAAGCAAATGCTGAGAGATTTTGTCACCACCAGGCCTGCCTTGAAAGAGCTCCTGAAGGAAGCACTAAACATGGAAAAGAACAACCAGTACCAGCCACTGCAAAAACATGCCAAATTGTAAAGCTCATCAATGCTAGGAAGAAACTGCATCAACTAACGGGTAAAATAACCAGCTAACATCATAATGACAGGATCAAATTCACATACAACAATATTAATCTTAAATGTAAAAGGGCTAAATGCCCCAATTAAAAGACACAGACTGGCAAATTGAATAAAGATTCAAGACCCATCAGTGTGCTGTATTCAGGAGACCCATCTCACATGCAGAGACACACACAGGCTCAAAATAAAGGGATGGAGGAAGATCTACCAAGCAAATGGAAAGCAGGAAAAAAGTAGGGGTTGCAATCCTAGTCTCTGATAAAACAGACTTTAAACCAGCAAAGATCAAAAGAGACAAAGAAGGCCATTGCCTAATGGTAAAGGAATCGATTGAACAAGAAGAGCTAACTATCCTAAATATATATGCACCCAATACAGGAGCACCCAGATCCATAAAGCAAGTTCTTAGAGACCTACAAAGAGACTTAGACTCCCATACAATAGTAGTGGCAGACTTTAACACCCAACTGCCAATATTAGATCAACAAGCCAGAATATTAACAAGGATATCCAGGACTTAAACTCAGCTCTGGACCAAGCAGACCTAATAGACACCTACAGAACTCTCCACCCCAAAGCAACAGAATATACATTCTTCTCAGAACCACATCACACTTACTCCAAAATTGACCATAGTTGGAAGTAAAGCACTCCTCAGCAAATATAAAAGAACAGAAATCACAACAAACTGTCTCTCAGAACACAGTGCAATCAAATTAGAACTCAGGATTAAGAAACTCATTCAAAACCACGCAACTACATGGAAACTGAACAACGTGCTCCTGAATGACTACTGGGTAAATAACAAAGTGAAGGCAGAAATAAAGATGTTCTTTGAAACCAATGAGAACAAAGACACAAGGTACCAGAATCTCTGGGACACATTTAAAGCAATGTGTGGAGGGAAATTTACAGCACTAAATGCCCACAAGAGACAGCAAGAAAGATCTAAAATTGACACCCTAACATCACAATTAAAATAACTAGAGATGCAAGAGCAAACAAATTCAAAAGCTAGCAGAAGGCAAGAAATAACTAAGATCAGAGCAGAACTGAAGGAGACAGAGACACAAAAAACCCTTCAGAAAAAAATCAATGAATCCAGGGGCTAGTTTTTTGGAAAGATCAACAAAATTGCTAGACTGCTAGCAAGACTAATAAAGAAGAAGAGAGAGAAGAATCAAGTAGACGCAATAAAAAATGATAAAGGGGATATCACCACTGATCCCACAGAAATACAAACTACCATCAGAGAATACTATAAACACCTCTATGCAAATAAACTAGAAAATCTAGAAGAAATGGATAAATTCCTGGACACATACACCCTCCCAAGACTAAACCAGGAAGAAGTTGAATCTCTGAATAGACCAATAAGAGGTTCTGAAATTGAGGCAATAATTAATAGCCTACCAACCAAAAAAAGTCCAGGACCAGAGGAATTCACAGCTGAATTCTACCAGAGGTACAAAGAAGAGCTGGTACCATTCCTTCTGAAACTATTACAATCAATAGAAAAAGAAGGAATCCTTCCTAACTCATTTTATGAGGCCAGCATCATCCTGATACCAAAGCTTATCCACCACGATCAAGTTGGCTTCATCCCTGGGATGCAAGGCTGGTTCAACATACACAAATCAATAAACTTAATCTATCACAAAAACAGAACCAAGGACAAAAACCCCATGATTATCTCAATAGATGCAGAAAAGGCCTTCGACAAAATCCAACACCCTTTCATGCTAAAAACTCTCAGTAAACTAGGTATTGATGAGATGTATCTCAAAATAATAAGAGCTATTTATGACAAACCCATAGTCAATATCATACTGAATGGGCAAAAATTGGAAGCATTCCCTTTGAAAACTGGCACAAGACAGGGATGCCCTCTCTCACCACTCCTATTCAACACAGTGTTGGAAGTTCTGACCAGGGCAATCAGGCAAGAGAAAGAAATAAAGTGTATTCGATTAGGAAAAGAGGAAGTCAAATTGTTCCTGTCTGCAGATGACATGACTGTATATTTAGAAAACCCCATCATCTCAGCCCAAAATCTCCTTAAGCTGATAAGCAACTTCAGCAAACTCTCAGGATACAAAAATGAATGTGCAAAAATCACCAGCATTCCTATACACCAAGAACAGACACACAGAGCCAAATCATGAGTGAACTCCCATTCACAATTGCTTCAAAGAGAATAAAGTACCTAGGAATCCAACTTACATGGGATGTGAAGGACCTCTTCAAGGACAACTACAAACCACGGCTCAACAAAATAAAAGAGGACACAAACAAATGGAAGAATATTCCATGCCCATGGATAGGAAGAATCAGTATCATGAAAATGGCCGTACCGCCCAAGGTAATTTATAGATTCAATGCCATACCCATCAAGCTATCAATGACTTTCTTCACAGAATTGGAAAAAACTACTTTAAAGTTCATATGGAACCAAAAAAGAGTCCACATTGCCAAGACAATCCTAAGCAAAAAGAAAAAAGCTGGAGGCATCATGCGACCTGACTTCAAACTATACTACAAGGCTACAGTAACCAAAACAGCATGGCACTGGTACCAAAACAGATACATAGACCCATGGAACAGAACAAAGTCCTCAGAAGTAACACATCAACAACCATCTGATCTTTGACAAACCTGACAAAAACAAGAAATAGGGAAAGGATTCCCTTTTTAATAAATGGTCTGGGAAAACTGGCTAGCTATATGTAGAAAGCTGAAACTGGATCCCTTCCTTACACCTTACATAAAAATTAATTCGAGATGGATTAAAGACTTACATGTTAGACCTAAAACCATAAAAACCCTAGAAGAAAACCTATGCAATACGATTCATGACACAGGCATGGACAAGGACTTCATGACTAAAACACCAAAAGCAATGGCAACAAAAGCCAAGAATTGACAAATGGGATTTTTTTTTTTTTTTTGTTAAACTGTGATTTTTTTTTTAAATTTTATTATTATTATACTTTAAGTTTTAGGGTACATGTGCCCCACGTGCAGGTTTGTTACATATGTATACATGTGCCATGTTGGTGTGCTGCACCCTTTACTCATCATTTACATTAGGTATATCTCCTAATGCTATCCCTCCCCCCTCCCCCCACCCCACAACAGGCCCCAGAGTGTGATGTTCCCCTTCCTGTGTCCATGTGTTCTCATTGTTCAATTCCCACCTATGAGTGAGAACATGCGGTGTTTGGTTTTTTGTCCTTGCAATAGTTTGCTGAGAATGATGGTTTCCAGCTTCATCCATGTCCCTACAAAGGACATGAACTCATCCTTTTTTATGGCTGCATAGTATTCCATGGTGTATATGTGCCACATTTTCTTAATCCGGTCTATCATTGATGGACATTTGGGTTGGTTCCAAGTCTTTGCTATGGTGAATAGTGCCTCAATAAACATGTGTGCATGTGTCTTTATAGCAGCATGATTTATAATCCTTTGGGTATATACCCAGCAATGGGATGGCTGGGTCAAATGGTATTTCTAGTTCTAGATCCCTGAGGAATCGCCACACTGACTTCCACGATGGTTGAACTAGTTTACAGTCCCACCAACAGTGTAAAAGTGTTCCTATTTCTCCACATCCTTTCCAGCACCTGTTGTTTCCTGACTTTTTAATGATCACCATTCTAACTGGTGTGAGATGGTATCTCACTGTGGTTTTGATTTCCATTTCTCTGATGGCCAGTGATGATAAGCATTTTTTCATGTGTTTTTTGGCTGCATAAATGTCTTCTTTTGAGAAGTGTCTGTTCATATCCTTCACCCACTTTTTGATGGGGTTGTTTTTTTCTTGTAAATTTGTTTGAGTTCATTGTAGATTCTGGATATTAGCCCTTCGTCAGATAAGTAGGTTGCGAAAATTTTCTCCCATTCTGTAGGTTGCCTGTTCACTCTGATGGTGGTTTCTTTTGCTGTGCAGAAGCTCTTTAGTTTAATTAGATCCCATTTGTCAATTTTGGCTTTTGTTGCCATTGCCTGTGGTGTTTTAGACATGAAGTCCTTGCCCATGCCTATGTTCTGAATGGTATTGCCTAGGTTTTCTTCTAGGGTTTTTATGGTTTTAGGTCTAACGTTTAAGTCTTTAATCCATCTTGAATTAATTTTTCTATAAGGTGTAAGGAAGGGATCCAGTTTCAGCTTTCTACATATGGCTAGCCAGTTTTCCCAGCACCATTTATTAAATAGGGAATCCTTTCCCCATTGCTTGTTTTTGTCAGGTTTGTCAAAGAACAGATAGTTGTAGTTATGCGGCATTATTTCTGAGGGCTCTGTTCTGTTCCATTGGTCTATATATCTCTGTTTTGGTACCAGTACCATGCTGTTTTGGTTACTGTAGCCTTGTAGCATAGTTTGAAGTCAGGTCGCATGATGCCTCCAGCTTTGTTCTTTTCGCTTAGGATTGACTTGGCAATGTGGACTCTTTTTTGGTTCCATATGAACTTTAAAGTACTTTTTTCCAATTCTTTGAAGAAAGTCATTGGTAGATTGATGGGGATGGCATTGAATCTATAAATTACCTTGGGCAGTATGGCCATTTTCACGATATTGATTCTTCCTACCCATGAGCATGGAATGTTCGGACAAATGGGATCTAATTAAACTAAAGAGCTTCTGCACAGCAAAAGAAACTACCATCAGAGTGAACAGACAACCTACAGACTGGGAGAAAATTTTTACAATGTACCCATCTGACAAAGGGCTAATATCCAGAATCTACAAAGAACTTAAGCAAATGCACAGGAAAAAAACAATCCCATCAAAAAGTGGGCGAAGGATATGAACAGACACTTCTCAAAAGAAGACATTTATGCAGCCAACAGACACATGAAAAAATGCTCATCATCACTGGCCATCAGAGAAATGCAAATCAAAACCACAATGAGATGCCATCTCACACCAGTTAGAATGGCAATCATTAAAAAGTCAGGAAACAACAGATGCTGGAAAGGATGTGGAGAAATAGGAACGCTTTTACACTGTTGTTGGGAGTGTAAACTAGTTCAACCATTGTGGAAGACAGTGTGGCAAATCCTCAGGGATCTAGAACTAGAAATACCATTTGACCCAGCCATCCCATTACTGGGTATATACCCAAAGGATTACAAATCATGCTACTATACAGACACATGCACACGTATGTTTATTGTGGCACTATTCACCATAGCAAAGACTTGGAACCAACCCAAATGTCCATCAATGATAGACTGGATTAAGAAAATGTGGCACATATACACCATGGAATACTATGCAGCCATAAAAAAGGATGAGTTCATGTCCTTTGCAGGGACATGGATGCAGCTGGAAACCATCACTCCGAGCAAACTATTGCAAGGACAGAAAACCAAACACCGCATGTTCTCACTCACAATTGGGAACTGAACAATGAGAACACGTGGAAACAGGGCGGGGAACACCACACCTTGGGGCCTGTTGTGGGGTGGGGGGCAAGGGGAGGGATAGCATTAGAAATACCTAATGTAAATGACGAGTTAATGGGTGTAGCAAACCAACATGGCACATGAATACCTATGTAACAAACTGCACGTTGTGCACATGTACCCTAGAACTTAAAGTATAATAAAAAAATAATAAAAAGTTTTATGTTCATTTTTGGGGATTTGGTTCATTATTTCTTCTCTAATATAATTGCTATTTTCAGTCAGACTTTAAATATCATTTTTATTTTGACTCATTCTCTGGATAAATTTAAAGTTGGCAATAACACACAGCTCTTTTCTACATGGCAGTGGTCAGGATTTTTGCACTGATCCTTAGGTGCCTTTAGTGAATTTAAAAGTTGGCTTCCCTTCCTCGATACATTCATGGTCATTTGCCAGAAAAACATAATAAATTTACCTATCCACAATGCAAATGCCACGTCTTACATGTAGCACCCTAGATTAAGTGCAAAACCTGCCTAATGCTATGTGGTGGTCCTGCTTTGCTTTAAATGTGAGGTTTACACTTTGGGAGGCCGAGGCGCGTGGATCACAAGGTCAAGAGATTGAGACCATCTTGGCCAACATGTTGAAACCCCGTCTCTACTAAAAATACAAAAATTAGCTGGGCGTGGTGGCATGCGCCTGTAGTCCCAGCTACTCAGGAGGCTGAGGCAGGAGAATCGCTTGAACCCAGGAGCAGGAGGTTGCAGTGAACTGAGATCACGCCACTGCACTCCAGCCTGGTGACAGAGCGAGACTCCGTCTCAAAAAAAAAAAAAGTGAGGTTTAATCAGAGTCTCAACAACTCAAATATGCTATGGAGGAAAAAGAAATCAACCCATACACTTCTGAGTTTCAAATCCACAACCATGCATTTTAAAGTACAAAACAGAAGTATCACACATGGTCCCTGACCTCAGAGAATGTCTAGTCTAACAGAAGTAACAAATCATGGGAAAAACCAATGCCCTGTATAGTGTATCAGTGACAATGAAGGCAGCGGAAGCAAGTGTGAAGGAATATTGGAGGCGGGACTCCAATGAACAGGATATGGTTATGTAAACAGAAGGAAAGTAGAATATAAAAGTCCCGATACTTTCAAAGAGCAAGCTGATTTTTCTTGTGACTTGTTCATTTTTGTTCTCCAGGAATTAAGGGGATTTCCTTCATAGGGTTCATCTTCAGTTTGCCCATGTCTATTTCTGTGCTTCAAAAAAGAGAGAGGAGAAAAATAGGGCAATGTCATTTTTTGAAAGCATGAGATTCTTTGGGAGGCCGAGGCAGGAGAAGCACTTGCGCCAGGAGTTCGAGACCAGCGTGTGAACACAGTGAGACCTTGTCTCTACAAAAAATTTAAAAAAAGAAAAATTGGCCAGGCATGGTGGTGCACACCTGTAGTCCCAGCTATCTGGGAGACTGAGGCAGAAGGACTGCTTGGGCCCAGGAGGTTGAGGCTGCAGTAAGCTAAGTAAGCTATGATAGATAGCATCTCTGGACTCTAGCCTGGGTAACAGAGTAAATCTGTTTCAAAAAAAAAAAAAGTATGAGATTCATTATGAAGACCTGGATTTAAGTCCTGGCTCGACTACCTACTAACTGTGTGAAACATTTACTTAACCTTTCTGGGCCTCAATTTTCCCATCTATATAAGATGTATGACAAGGCCATGTAGAAATTATATGAGATTGTACATACAGAAAATATTTTGTAACAAGTTATTTTTAATGAGTTATCAAATTTTCATACATCAACCAGCCATTCAGATTTCAAGAACTATATTCCCATATATTGGTTTATGAGCACTTAGGAGGATAACTTTAAAATTTAAGATACTGGATTTTTTGTGTGTGGGGGGAAGAGAGAGAGATTGGTTTTAAGCAACAAAAGAGATAGCTATGTACTAAACTCTAATTTTGCTACAGATACGATACTGAGCCAAACTCTTTTGAAGTTCCTTGCCCAATATTCTTGGATTATTTGAAGTCATATTTGACATCTGACTATGCAAAGAATCAAACTCTCTTTTAATTAATTGAAGTTTTCCACATAAAACTGATGTGGCTAGGTCACTTTTGTGGTCCCTTTTAATATTTAATCTCATAGGTCTTAAAGAATTCAAGTACCCGGCCGGGCGCGGTGGCTCACACCTGTAATCCCAGCACTTTGGGAGGCCGAGGCGGGCGGATCACGAGGTCAGGAGATCGAGACCATCCTGACCAACATGGTGAAACCCCGTCTCTACTAAAAATACAAAAAATTAGCCGGGCGAGGTGGCGGGCGCCTGTAGTCCCAGCTACTCGGGAGGCTGAGGCAGGAGAATGGCGTGAACCCCGGGGGGCGGAGCCTGCAGTGAGCCGAGATCGCGCCACTGCACTCCAGTCTGGGCGACAGAGCGAGACTCCATCTCAAAAAAAAAAAAAAAAAAAAAAAAAAAAAGAATTCAAGTACCCATTTTAGGCTATGAAACGATCAAGTTTTAGCAATATTCAAAGCTCTACTTCAATTAAGTCAGGTGACAGGCTGGGTCTGAGCCTTAGTTGCTTTATCAGTTGATCAATAAATACAGGGTAATATCAGTACCTATTTCCCAGGACTCCCAGAAGTGAGGGGGACTGAGTGAGACAAAGCTCATGATAGTGTATGGCACATGCTAAGCATTAGCTATCGTTTTACATGTATTATTAATGAAACAAAAGGAGTGCTGACTTCAAAAGCTGCTGGTATTAAAAACTGCACAGGATTTACTTGGAAAAAATTAGCTCTGTCATTAAAAATGATTGAATAAAGCACCTGAAGTTTTAACCTGGACTGAGGATTTTTCCATTTCAGTTTTAATAATATTAGAAAGTTCATGATTAAAGGAACCATAAAGAAATAATTTCTGCCCAGGTGTGGTGGCTCACGCCTGTAATCCCAGCACTTTGGGAGGCGGAGGCAGGCAGATCACTTGAGGTAAGAAGTTCAAGACCAGCCTGGCCCACATGGCGAAACCCTGGCTCTACTAAAAATACAAAAATTAGCTGGGCGTGGTGGCACATGCTTGTAATCCCATCTACTCAGGAGGCTGAGGTGGGAGGATCACTTGAACCTGGGAGGCAGAGGCTGCAGTGAGGCGAGATTGCGCCACTGCACTCCAGCCTGGGCAACAAAGTGAGACTCCATCTCAAAAAAAAACAAGAAAGAAAAGAAAGAATTTCTGAGTATCTGGCTTGGCCCTTGACACAGGGTTGTTGTCCACAACCCCTTCATCTTGCCCATCAATAGTAGTCCAAGGTTAGTACACCATCCCTAGTGGTTCCCCTGCGCCCACATCTCTGTGAATCATCCTTTGTGTATAAACTTCCCTCTAATTATCCTAATCTAAGTGGGCCATCTGTTTCCTGTTGGACCATGAATTATACAATCACTTTACACTCTCACTAGCAACACAAAAGAGTTCCCACATCATGCCATGCTTTACGCTTTGAGTTTTTTGTTTTTCTTTGGCAATTTGACAGGCAAAAAAAAAAAAAAAAAGGCAAATGTTATCTTTTTCTACTATTGTTTTTGCATTTTTTTGACTATCAGTGAGGCTGACCACTTTTCATGTTTATTTGCATTTTTATTCCCTGTTCTGAAAACCACTCATGTCTTTTACCCATTTCTTAATGTTTTTCTGATAAGTTTGAATGATCACTTCATATATATTTGTTATTTGGATGAAAGAAACAAATACCTACTTGACTTACCATAAGTAAGAATGGAAATTTACTCTGAGGACTTAGGAATGTCTCTAACGGAGACTACATAGAAGGATTTAATTAAGCCTCAGGAATGGACTCAGGATCAGGAACTGGAGTGTTATATTGAGGTTGGGAAGTCCTCTTGATCCGTATTTCGTCTCCTCCTATCTGCCTGTCAGCATCATTCTGCTTATCACTATAAAATGAATTGTTACTGCTTCTTGGTCCACATGGTAGAAAATGGTCACCACCAAATGGCCCCAAGTACAACTCCACTATTCAAAAGAGCAGCCAGCAGAGGTGAGAATCCTAGACTTAGTTCTAAATTCCTGGGTCAGGTGGCCAATTGAATGAAGGTCAGGTTGGACTAAGATGGCCAATTCGACTAAACCAGGTAGATAAGAGTGAAAAGGTTCCCAGGAAAGCAGTGTGACTAGCACAGACTACAAAGCTGTTCTAAAGTTTCAAAACCAAGAATATTACTATGCTATTATAATATTAATAATTTTAATGGTCACTGCTATACTTATGAAATGACCTTTTTCTAATGTCTAATAGCCTTACATAAATGGGATAACTATAAAGATATTTCATCCTAATTTAGTGTGAAAGATACATTAAGGTGGTATATTTTCTCTCCAAGAGAGGTTAGACTTTGGTGTCAGTTTTCACATAATTGCAGGCATAACAACTGTTGATTACGATGCTTAGTCACTGGCACAAATTCAGACTCCACTAATTAAATGGCAGCACAATCCCACTAAATTGAATAAACTAATTAAACGAATGTGGCTGGATTCGTTATAAAGTGAATTTCATATGTCAAGATGGACTATAACCTGTCAGTACAGCAGCCAAGCTTAAGCTCAAATGAACAACAGTTATGAGTAGTACACTTGAGTTGGTTTCAGGCAAAACCTCACAACAAACAGTCTAACCCCCAATGACCTTTTACAGAAAGATTAATAATATCATATCAATAAAAAGCTAAAACAAAATTACTCTCACTAAATAGTTATTACACTATAAATAAGCCAAAGCTTTTCCTTGGTGGGGAAGGCAGATGGTAAGGAGCGGGCAGAACAAGGGATGAACAGCAGTAGGCTAATTTTAGCAAGGCATCTGAGTTTATCAATCTCCAAACCTCAGTGGTTTCTGACATTGTGATAGATATCAAAGCTGGGTACCCAAGGGACCTCAGAGAACATCAGCGATGAAAGGAAGCGTAGAGATTAAGATCACCTCAGCTTCCATTCTGACCTGCGGCAGCCCTGGGTCTCAAATGCTCCTATTTAAGCTAACTTTTTGGCTTCTCAATAATCTACCCATCTTTCTTTCTACTCAGTCTAACTTCTCATGCAATTGTTAAGTCTCATACTTTTTTTGGATCTCTGTCTTACCCAATCCATCTCTGGGTTGGATTCTCTGTCCCTGGAACAAGTGCTGCTTCCCTGATTTCTATTCTAGGCACTAACACTGTATTTAAAATGAGCACTTCGTTATCAGTGCTTGACCAGTCCGGCTCTGTCTCCCATCCCTCCTTGGCCTGACCAGCGTGGCAGTGCTCATGAGTGCAGCTGCCACCTTCAAGTACTGCACAACAGCTGCTGTCTCATTCCTCATATGATGGTTATTAACGTCTTGTATATGCCCTCAAATTCTCCCTTTTTGACTGCTCTGTGAAAATAGATCTGGGACCTTTAAATATTTTTCCTTTGCTGACTGGCACTGAAGTTTTTTCAGTAGAGGACACTAGAGAGCCACTGACGGAGGAAAAGATTTTGCTTCCTGGTTCGGGTGTGTTCACTTCACAGGCTCCTATTGCATAGATATAGATGGCTTCTCCAGCACCAGGCTCTAGCTGTGTTGGCAGTTTTTCCAGTGCTTCTTTAGCTTCTGCCTGAGTTATTTTAGAAACTTGGGAGTCCTACACTTCAAGAAGCAGTCTATTAGGGAACAGCCAGAATGGATACAAAAATTTTCTTGAACTGAGCTGAACTCTGCCTACCTATTCTGCTCTATCTTGGGAGTAATTTCCTTGCTTGGAAGCAACACAGAATGACAACCTTCTTTCACATGATACCATCTCAGATATTTGAATGCAAATATCTTGCTTTTCCTCAGCTTCTTTTTCACTAGATTAAAAATATGCAGCCCCAGTCGGGCACAGTGGCTGACACCTATAATCCTGGCACTTTGGGAGGCAGAGCCAGGAGTTCAACACCAGTCTGGCCAACACGGTAAAACTCTGATTGTACTAAAAACGCAAAAATTAGCCGGGCATGGTGGTGGCGCGCCTGTAATCCTAGCTTCTTGGGAGGCTGAGGCAGGAGAATAGCTTGAACCTGGGAAGTGGAGGCTGCAGTGAGCCGAGATTGCGCCACTGCAATCCAGCCTGAGCAACAGAGCGAAACTCTGTCTCAAAAAAAAAAAAAAAAAAAAAAATTCAACCCTTTTAATCATCTCCTACAAGAACTCTCACCATCTTAATCATCTTCTGAATGCACCTCCCTGTCCAGCTTTGTTAGTGTTCTTTGTAAAGTACTGCCCCAGTAACAAAACACAATGCCCTTGACTCAGTCTGACAATCAATGTGACAATCCCAATGTAATGAAATGGAACTGTTTCTTGCTGTAATCAGATGCTGCATTTCTCTTCAATTAGTTAGGAGCCATACTAGCTTCTAGAATCCATCATTCATGAGTGGATCAACGGAAACTTCCAGATCCTTTGTACACAACTACCAAGCCAGGACTCCCTCATCCTATACATACTTTTCTCCCCCATTAAGAGAAACAACCTTTTCCTAGCATTGCTAAATCGGTTTTGTTTCTACCACTCTTCCTTTTTTTTTTTTTTTGAGATGGAGTCTCACTCTGTCGCTCAGGCTGGAGTGTGGTGGCGCGATCTCCGCTCATTGCAAGCTCCACCTCCCAGGTTTACGCGGTTCTGCTGCCGCAGCCTCCCGAGTAGTGGGGACTACAGGTGCCCACCACCACGCGTGGCTAATTTTTTTGTATTTTTAGTAGAGATGGGGTTTCACAGTGTTAGCCAGGATGGTCCCTATCTCCTGACCACATGATCTGCCCACCTCGGCCTCCCAAAGTGCTGGGATTACAGGCGTGAGCCACCGTGCCCAATCTGTTCCTAATATTCTTAAAGCAATGGTTAATATGTGCTTACTAAGTGCAGATTAGTCTGGTGCAGTGTAGGATGAGAATAATAAGACTCCAGAAAAAGACAATTCCACAGGACCTACAATGATATTTTATGTTTTGACATTGCTGGGCACAGGTACAGTTTATAATATGTTTATATCAGTAATAATAATATTAAATACTTCCAATACTACATATATGTACATATTATAAATAGCACTTTGGACAACTCATTAATTGAAGCCTTACTAATATTCCACAGACAATACACAAGAGTGACTAGTTCAAGAAATATATAATGTAGCTATGGCAATCTAGCCATTTCATTATATAAAGCAATAATTATATTGTAGTAGTATGAAAAGCCATTGAAAATATATCTAATATCTCAAAGTTATGCATTTGAAACTGATCAATAGTGACATCCAAATCTGACAAATTAAAAAACCAAGTATATAAGTGACGTAATTAAGTAAATAACATGACTTCATTATATGAAGTCATGCTAATATAGTTATTAATCTCTTTCTAAATATACCCTGAACTAGAGTGAATTAGTGTCAGTTATGATATTATATACTAAGACACGTTTTATTCTGAGATACAGTTAGTTAACATCTTTCAACTATCCTAAATATCTAAGATTTCCAGTTTTTAGAACATATTTATAACAAGCTTGTCTATAAAATGCTACTAAATTAATGTACCAGATATGCATAATACTTTTAATAACTATTATTGCTCATTTAGCTATTAATCACCAGAATTCCTCTAAAGTAAGTCCTCCCTAAAACCATATCGTCAGCATCTTTTCTCAGCTATATTTATTTTCTTCCTTATCAGATGTTATTGCATAAACTTCAGTTCTGGCCTCAAATTCTAATTTAACCATTATAATGTATTTCTCTCTCTTCCTTAGTGTGTAAGTGTACAAGACTATATCCTTTTCTATTATGATACGCCTGGAGGGCGGCTTATAATGAACCCAATAAGGTGTCAAATGTTCCTGTTCTAGCTCAAATTACTTTTTAAGTTTTTCAGAGAGAAATAAAGTTTCCTTGTAAATATCTATTGCTGAGGAACACTTATAAGTGAGGCTCAATAGTGTCTTGGAAATTCAGTGACCCCCAAAACAAAACTACCCCGTTTCTGGACAAGGGGACTGTGGCAGATGTAGCTAAACATCTGCTAGAATCCATTCTTCCTCTTCCCACAGTAATCAACTTTTAGCTAGAATGTGGTTCCTGGCCAGGACTACATATCTCAGCCTTCTTGAAGCTAAATGTGACCATGTGACATATTCAATAAAATATTCAATGGAACACACACACAAGATATGTAACACTCCAGGCCTAGGCCATAACATCTTGCAAAACTGAAACATCCTCTGTGCACTTTTGACTTTGGAAGTCACATGTAGAGATGACAAAGGAACAGGTCAGCTTAGCTCCCTGAATGACTGTGTGGAGCAGAGCTACTGCTTGACCTGTAGAGCTCATCACAGAACCATTTCCTAAGAGGGAAAAAACTGGCTTTAACAATAGCCTGGCACGGTGGCTCATGCCTGTAATCCCTGCACTTTGGGAGGCCGAGGAGGGTGGATCACCTGAGGTCAGGAGCTGGAGACCAGGGCGACCAATATGGTGAAACCCCATCTCTACTAAAAATACAAAAATTAGCTGGGCAGGATGGCGTGTGCCTATAGTCCCAGCTACTCAGGAGGCTGAGACAGAAGACTTGCTTGAACCTGGGAGGCGGAGGTTGCAGTGAGCCAAGATCGCACCACTGCACCCCAGCCTGGGTGACAGAGTGAGACTCAGTCTCAAATAAATAAATAAATAAATAAATAAAGTTTAATCATTAGGTTTTTTTGTTTCAGCAGCACAGCTTACTCTGAACCAGAAAGATATATAAAATTCGTTTCTTAAAAAAACAGTTTGGGGAAGGAAAAAGAAGGAAAAACATACACACACTAAGTTCTAATGTTGGGCTAGATGAAAGATACCCATGGTTTAATGATTCTAAAGAGAAATAAACCTATTGGAATAAACACCTGTGCCAATGCACTGCCTTGAATGTTCCTTAGCCAAGCCTTTTCCTTTTCATCCATCATGTCACTTCTCTCATAGGAAATGCAACTCACTACTGACTCTGATTCTTCCCTTGACTTCAGACAGGAATTCATTATACATCTTAGTCCTAGCATTCCCATTCTCTTCCTTCTCTCATACTTGCCAGGCATTGTGGCCTCATGGTTAGTTATAAGGCTAACACAGAAAACTGCTGAAATCTCTACACATCTTTACATTCCTCCTGTTTTTCCATTGTATCCATTCCTGTTATTCCAGCTCCATGTACAATAACCATGACTTCGTAATTGGTCCTTATTAACGTACTTATCTCATCCCACTATACATATACGGTATTGCTACATCTAAATTAGTCCTCTAGCATAACATCTGTATTAGTACTTCCAAAATCTTGATATTGAGTCTACAGACCAGAAGCTGGCCAAAACTACAGCCTATGGGCCAAATCTTGTCTGTGGCCATTTCTGAAAATAAAGTTTATTGGAACACAACCATGCTTATTCATTTAGGTACTATTTATGGCTGCTTTTGCACTACAATGGCAAAGTTGAGTAGTTTGGACAGAGGCCAAAGGCCACCAACAGTGAAAATGTTTACTATTTGGACCTTTACAGGAAAAGTTTACCAATCTCTGACATAGACCAACATAATTTCTCATAAAGACAATGACAGCTATCTCCTTATACCTCATTCATTTAACACTAGGACAAGTACCTGTACTAGCAGAATAAGAAATACAAAGATATACATTCCCAAAGATATAAAAGATACAGCACCTGATCTTCGAGATTACAATGTACAGAGAAAGAGAAGGTACATGGGGGGATGCAGGCATGGTGGTAAGCTCAATACATAAAAAAGCCCTAATACAAGGGAGTACAGAAGTACCAAATGAGCAGTAAAATAAACACTATATGGAGATAGATGAAAGAAAGATGATTTTCATCTAGGTAATCAGGAAAGGCTCTATTTATGGAAGTAGTGATGTCAAAGATGGATTTTTAACCAGAAATAGTATGGGTGAGTGGCAGGCCAAGAGAGCATGAGACAAAATGTTATGCTCTATAACATGCATTACATGCCCTCTTCTATTTCAGGTTTAACCATGGATTACCATTCTCGGAACTTCTTTATATTGCTTCCTGACAGCCTCCAACAGCATTCATCTCACAATGTCTCAATCTATTTAGAAACTTTTGGTTGGCTGGTCAGCCACTGGAACAAGATAAGGCACAGGCAGAGCTGCTGTAACACAGAGACCTGGCCAGGAGCGGTGGCTCACACCTGTAATCCCAGCACTTTGGGAGGCCGAGGCAGGCCAATCACCTGAGGTCAGGGGTTCGAGACCAGCCTGGCCAACATGGGGAAACACCATCTCTACTAAAATACAAAAATTAGCCAGGTGTGGTGGCAGGCACCTGTAATCCCAGCTACTTGGGAGGCTGAGGCAGGAGAATCGTTTGAACCCGGGAGGCAGAGGGTGCAGTAAGCCAAAATCGCACCACTGCACTCCAGCCTGGGCAACAGAGTGAGACTCCATCTCAAAAAAAAAAAAAAAAAAAAAAAAGGGATAGCCAAGAAAATACTTATATGCCAGGCAGTCCTTCCAGAATTTATATTTTGTTAAATTTTGTTAATTATGCCCTTTAAAAATCCTGATATGAAAGTATATCTGAAATAAAACAATTAATCAAAATATGATTTAAGACTACTATTCATGGCCAGGCGCAGTGGCTAACGCCTGTAATCTCAGCACTTTGGGAGGCCGAGACGGGCGGATCACAAGGTCAGGAGATTGAGACCATCCTGGCTAACATGGTGAAACCCCGTCTCTACTAAAAATATAAAAAATTGGCCGGGCGTGGTGGCAGGCACCTGTAGTCCCAGCTACTCGGGAGGCTGAGGCAGGAGAATGGCGTGAACCCGGGAGGCGGAGCTTGCAGTGAGCCAAGATCGTGTCACTGCACTCCAGCCTGGGTGACAGAGCCAGACTCTGTCTCAAAAAGAAAAAAAAGACTACTGTTCACTTTTAATAGAAAATGTAATATGTATAAAGGTTCTTTTTGTTAACTTTTAAAAAATCTTCAATTATTCAACAAGTAGACAAGAATGCTTCAGGTTTTCCCCCTAGATTAAGTGGAGAAGAGGAAATTGCGAAGATAAAACCTGAACAGAACACACCATTAAGGAACTTTATATACTATTTTGTTCTTTGTCATCTATCCATTCATTCATTTGTTATGTACCTACTGTGCCAGGGCAGAGGGGATCACAGATGGAGAAGAAACAGTTCCGACCACAGATTGCTGAGAATCCAGGTGGGAAAGTCTTACAAGCACAACTAACTATAATGTATGGTCGAATGATGTAAGTTCTGTAAGTATTGTGGGGCTGAAAAACAAAGTATAATGGAATCTGCCTTCAGAGATCTGAAGAGACCTCACGAAAACTGAAGAGGGGTCTGTGGGGAGATGGGGGGTGGCTATTGAAACTCAGCCTTGAAAAAAGAGTAGAAGTCAGGAGGGTGAAGAAGCGGGGTAAAGGGAGAGAGGCACTACCGCCTGGGGAACACCATAAACATCAGCAACGAGGGGTGAAAATACATGACAAGCCACAAGAAGAAGAGGAATTAGCTCAGCCACGCTAGAGCGGGGATACGGAAGAGATAGAGCAGAAGATGGAACTGGAGGGATGAGGCCATGGCTCTGGTTCAACTGCAGTTTATGTTTTAAGGCTTGCTTACCTGCTTACCTTTGTTTCAATAATAACAAACCCATAAAAGGGTATTTACAAGGTCCAAAGGAACTATATTTTCTCTTGAAAAGTGAAAACCGGTTTATTATACCAATTCTATCTTCTAAAACATTCCCGAAGCCGAGTTACAGAAATGAGTATTAGACTACAAAATGTCTTAACAAATATTCTCTAGCAAGGGCTTAGAGGGCCAATGATGTCTCTTTGCAAAACACTCTCTAAAATAATTTTTCCCCCCCAGGTTTATGGTCACATTACAGTCAGTCTCTAGAAAGAAGTTATTCATCAATAACTTTTTAAATCCCCTGTTCAGGCCAGGAGCGGTGGCCCACACCTGTAATCCCAGCACTTTGGGAGGCCGAGGCGGGTGGATCACCTGAGGTCAGCAGTTCAAGACCAGCCTGACCAATATAGTGAAACCCTGTCTCTACTAAAAATACAAAAATTAGCCAGGCATGGTGGCGGGCGGCTGTAGTCCCAGCTACTTGGGAGGCTGAGACAGGAGAATTGCTTGAACCCGGGAGGTGGAGGTTGCAGTGAGCTGAGATCGTGCCACTGCACTACAGCCTGGGTGACAGAGCAAGACTCCATCTCAAAATAAATAAAATAAAAAGCCCCTGTTCAAATATCCCATTCAGCCACTAGGAAACAAACACTTTGTTTGTTTTTGGAGATCGAGACCGTCTTGGTCAACATGGTGAAACCAAACTCGGTCTCTACTAAAATACAAAAAATTAGCCAGCCTTGGTGGTGGGATTACAGGCACGTGCCACCATGTCTGGCTAATTTTTTGTATTTTAGTAGAGACCAGGTTTGGTTTCACCATGTTGGCCAAGATGGTCTCGATCTCCAAAAACAAACAAAATGTTTAACAAAAGAAAACATACTATGTTTGTACATAACATGTATGTACTGTACATGCCCCACAGGAACACATACAGTACCATGCAGAGTCAGAAAAAACAAGAAGGACTTATCAAATAGATAAGTCTTCCTTCCTCAGCACAGGATCAGGGCATTCATTATTTACTGTTACGCCCAAGAGGTTGAAAATAAGCAAATTCATCTTTAGGTTCCAGAAATGTGATTTGGGCAGTGCATTCATTATAAAAAGTTATATATGCAGTTGAATATAATACCACCTGTGTCCACAGCACTTTTTTTTTTTTTTTTTTTTTTGAGATGGAGTCTCGCTCTGTCGCCCAGGCTGGAGTGCAATGATGCGATCTCGGCTCACTGCAACCTCTGCCTCGCGTCTCAAAAAAGACATCTACTCTTCAACCAATTCTCCTGGCTCAGCCTTACAAGTAGCTGGGATTATAGGTGCCTGCCACGACACCCAGCTAATTTTCTGTATTTTTTAGTAGAGATGGGGTTTCACCATATTGGTCAGGCTGGTCTTAAATATTGATTAATCTAACTAACATCTGCTATATAAACTAAATGCGTTTGGGTCATGAATAGAAATGAGCAACTAATTTGGTTGGTGTTAAGCTAGCAATGCGACACGTGAATGCCTGCCAACCTGGCCCTACCACCACTTAGCTCTGTGAACTTAGCTGAAGTCATTCAGTCTATTTGGGCCTGTTTTGTCCCCTTCTCAAAACAAGGAGATTCGTCTAATTGGTCTTAAAAGTCCTTTTCATCCCTAAAATTGCCATTTTGTTGTTTTACCAGGGGAATATAAATACACCATTGAACAAAATATTGTCAATGTCAGAATGGTCTTAATGATTGAAAAATTCTCTTTTATGATCTTAGGCAGTCAACAGAGTGGTAGTTTTACTTAGTGGTTGTAATAACTGTTTTTCCTTTATTTATTTATTTATTTTTTTTTTTTTGAGACAGAGTCTCACTCTGTTGCCTAGGCTAGAGTGCAGTGGCGCGATCTCGGCTCACTACAAGCTCTGCCTCCCGGGTTCATGTCATTCTCCTGCCTCAGCCTCCCGAGTAGCTGGGACTACAGGCGCCCGCCACCAAGCCCGGCTTATTTTTTTGTATTTTTAGTAGAGACGGGGTTTCACCGTGTTAGCCAGGATAGTCTCGATCTCCTCACCTCGTGATCTGCCCACCTTGGCCTCCCAAAGTGCTGGAATTACAGGCGTGAGCCACTGTGCCCGGCCACTGTTTTTCCTTTCAAAAGAAATTGAAATTTGGCTGGGCACAGTGGCTCACGCCTGTAATCCCAGCACTTTGGGTGGCCAAGGCAGGAGGATCACTTGAGCCCACAGGGTTGAGACCAGCCTGGGCAACATAGTGAGACCTTGTCTCTACAAAAACAAACAAACAAAACACAAAAAATTAGCCAGGCATGGTGGTGTGTGCCTGCCTGTAGTCCCAGCTACTTTCGGAGGGTGAGGTGGGAGGATCGCTTGAACCCACGAGGTTGAGGCTGCAGTGAACTGTGTTACAGCATTGCACTTCAGCCTGGGCAACAAGAGCATGACCCTGTCTCAAAAAAAAAAAAAAAAAGAAATGAAAATTTATTTGATGGGTTTCGCATATCATAATGAATTAGAGTAAGTCTCTCTCTAATGCTTCATTCTGTTACCAGTGTTTTTATCTGTGAAGTATTTCTTATTCAGGATTATCGTCAGAACCCTAAAAGCTTTATATAACAGACATCTTAGGTTATCCTAGAAGTTATCAACCATTAGATAATGAACGAAACAGCATTATCTCAGCCATATTCTAGAAGAATCTTTTTTTATCGCATTTACTTTAACAGTATTAATTTTCCTTGTTTTTTAAACACACACCAGCTCGCTGTTCTCTGAGCTAAGTATTTAACTTTGTGGCATAGGAACCTTCACCCAAATGTTTTCACTGAATTTTCCACATTGGCATACCTTTGAAAAAAGAGGTTGATGAAACATTGGTAGTCAGTTAAAGGTACCCATTAAGAGGACCCATGGAAGAAATTGCTGTCTAGTCTTAATATTAGAATAGTTGGGTTTCTCCAGAGCAGATGCAGTGTATATTATACAGACAGTGAAGCGTATAGCCAGTGGTGTTGTTTATGCAATGGCTGTCAGAACGCTGAGGATCAGATTTTTGACCCACTTCTAACAAATGTGAAAGACCTATGCCATGCATGTTATGTATTTACAGTACTCATAGTTTCATCTTCTCTACCTTCATTTTCCTCTGGTCATATCACCACCCATTTTTCCATAAGCATCTTTTAATGGGAAAAAAGTGATGCATAAATAAGGTTTTAAATAAAAATCAACTCTTTAATACTTGAACAAATATGTTCTAAGTAGTTAATTGTGGAAGTGTGGCAGACCAGTCTCTTTCTTGTTCACTTTGTCTTTTTGCTGCTTTGCCCATCGAAGGTGCTCAATACATATTGATTGTGTTGCATGGAGTTGCTGTAAGAATCTAATTTTGATGCTATAGTTCTCTCTCAAAGAAAGATGGTAGTACTGAAGTTACTACTCTCCTCACTCACTTATGGAAGTGGATTCCTCTTTTCTTCCTGCTGCCCTCACCTGCTCTAAATCTTCCTATTTCCTTGCTACCCCATCCCCACCTGAGTTAAAGTATAGTTTGCATCAACTACCAAGCCCTGTAACCATTTGTTCTGAGAGTTTCCTGTGTCATAAACTTCCAGATGTGTTGATTTTACATAATTTTTACCTTAATTACAGGTTCACTACAAGTATTGTAGATCAGGTTTGCATTTTGGCAGCTCTTTAGGGAACAGATTTCAGTCCAGGATTCACAATATTGATGAGAAATCATCTATGAAATCTGCATGATAAACAAGGTCTATTGAAGATAATTTTTTTGGAATAGATTTGAGGGCAAGAAATAGGGAACAGTGAAAGAGAGGCAAGATATGGGGCTAGACTTGAAATGCATATAGCCAGCCGGGCGCAGTGTCTCATGCTTGTAATCCCAGCACTTTGGGAGGCCAAGGTGGGCAGATCACGAGGTCAGGAGATCGAGACCATCTTGGCCAACATGGTGAAACCAAACCCGGTCTCTACTAAAATACAAAAAATTAGCTGGCCCCCATGGTGGCACATGCCTGTAATCCCAGCTACTTGGAGGCTGAGGCAGGGGAATCGTTTGAACCCGGGAGGCGGAGGTTGCAGTGAACTGAGATTGCGCCACTGCACTCCAGCTTGGCGACAGAGCAAGACTCCGTCTCAAAAAAAAAAGAAAAGAAAGAAATGCATATAGCCTATAAGCAGAAATAAATAAGAAATGACATAAAACATTGAATCTCATATCAAGAAACTGACAGGTTCACAAAGCTTTGCTGTGGTAAACTTTAGAGAGGAAAATCTTGAAGACTGGCAAGGGTCACCCCACAAATATGAGTTCTTCCTGAGGATCTTATGATATTTACTAGATTGAGTAGATTATTAGGTCTGGCTTTTTCCTTTACTTTTATTTTTTTAAGAAGTGCTGTGGGCTGGGCGCGGTGGCTCACGCCTGTAATCCCAGCACTTTGGGAGGCTGAGGCAGGAGGATCACGAGGTCAGGAGTTTTAGCTCGAGGTTTTCTACCTTAGTTTCACAGGTACCTCATTCAACAAATATCTTTCTGCCAAGACACAAATGATTTCCTAGCTTAGAATTTGCTGTAAAACAGCACTAATACCATTTAATCACAATAACAAGCAAAATCTAAAAAAAACACACTAATACTTAAGTGCTGCAAAAGTGGTAATGTTTAATATTTAATTGACAAGCTGGTCTAGCATTACTTTGAGATCAAAGCATCAATGTCTTTTCCATAGCGTAAATACAATCACCAACACTTAACCAATTGCTCTCCTCAGGAGAGGGCTCTGAAGTTAGTTTTATAGAATAGAATACAATGTACCAACTGCAAATACAAGAGATAGAATAGTAGGAACATGTCAAACAAGAACGATATGTTCATTAAATTAAAAAGATGAAAACAATTTCTAAGTTGACATCTTGTGGTGGAATTTAAACATCCATATGCTTTGTTTCTAGAAGTTAAAAAAAGCATACTCGATACTTAAGCTGCTCTGCAGAGTGCTTGATGTAAAAATTTTTTAAACATAGCTTATGTATGGACTCAAATGCTGTACTGGGGACATGAAATCGTATCAGGGAGTTTCTCAGTCTAAGTAGCACAAAATCCAAATTAAGAAAGGCACATTTAGGCAAGGGCTTTCTGTTCAGATGTAACTCACCAAGCACCACAATTACTCAAAGCTGAGTCTTTGTGCACAGAAACATCAGCAGGAGCCATGGATTGCCCTGACAACCACTCAGCTAGAGTGCTGACAAGCAGAGATGCTGCCACCAGAGCGTGATTATGGCCACCAGGCCATGCCTTGCCCAAAGATGAATACAATATGCTCTTGCTCTACTACGCTTCAGACTAAATGTGTTCTTTAAAAAACAATTCTGTATATCCATGTCAACAAACTGTTTTTTTTTCCCCTCACCCAGAAAACACTAGCAGACAATTGCTCACATACAATATGAAGTATGAGAATTGTGTATTTTTCAAAGTTATTAAATGCTCCTATAAGGCACACTCATAGAAGTGTGAAAGACTTCAGAAAGACCAATTATAGTTGGGAACGCTTATTTGAAATACTGCTTACGACAAGTCCTTGCAAGCTAAGATTTTATGAGCTGTCAGGTCACAAACTACTTGTTTTTCTAGCTGCTTCATAGGCTCTAGGGGTCTGAATGTTTCTGGGAAAAAAAATAAATAGAAATAATACTTGCCTTTACCCACAGGATATTTCATAACAAGTGGGAAAGCCACAAAAGAGTGATATCTTAGAATGAAAAATGTCCCGATAGCCAGGTAATTTGATTAGCAGAAAATGGTTTAGTAGTCCTAGCTAAAACTCCTCAAGAGCCAGAATATTTTTATCGGTTTACTCATGGTAAAATGTAAAAGCTGTATATAAAGAACAGCATTTCCACTTCTCAAGTTCTGAAAATTGTCTTTATAGCTGGACAGTTGGCTTAAAACAAAAATTTGCAAATTAGAAACATTCAAACATAACGCTTCTTACGATGATTCCTAACTACTGTTTCCCTGTTATTAGGCCTAATAAGCCCGATGGTACCATTTTCTTTTAAAAGGGTATCCACATTCCTGCTGAGGTATGCAATGGCACCACCCTAGACAGCATCAGATGGGAAATATGGAGAAAAGGATTTGCAGGTGATAATTTGAGAAAGGGCAGCCAGTCCCGGGATCCACAAAAATGCTACTCAACGTGTTAAATGGACTTAATAGAAAACACTTGGGGCTGGTCGCGGTGGCTCACCCCTGTAATCCCAGCACTTTGCGGGGCTGAGACGGGCGGATCACAACGTCAGGAGTTCGAGACCAGCCAGTCTGGCCAACATGGTGAAACCCCGTCTCTACTAAAAATACAAAAATTAGCCGGGTGCGGTGGCGCGCGCCGGTCATCCTATTTTCTGGGGAGGCTGAGGTAGGAGAATCGCTTGAACCCAGGAGGCGGAAGTTGCAGTGAGCCGAGATCGCACAACTGCACTCCAGCCTGGGTAACAGAGCAAGACTCCGTCTCCAAAAACAACAACAAAAAACAATAATCTGTGTTTAAAATGGCATGTGAAAGGGGTTCCTCGTATTGGGTTGTTTTAATGTTTGGTATCTCTTTGACTACACAATGCAACACTTACAGTAAAAGTACAACCTTTAAAAGTATAAAAAGCCCATCTCCCCAATGACTTTATAAGTCTACCATTTTACATTTTAAGGAGTTTGCCCCTGTTCTTACATTTAGTAACAACATGGCCTTCCTCATTCTCTTTCAAACATTCCTGGAATTGATTTTCTGAATGCACTTAATCCTTTGGTCACAAGCTCAATGAAAAGGAAAAAAAAATGCACTTAAATATTCCCTGCATCAATTGAAACTGAAGCCCTCAGACAGCTGGAGGAAAAGGGGGGGAAGGAAAAAAAAGAACAAAATAAACAGGAAGTGAAAGTGACAAGAGAATCACACTGCTTACTTTTTGGCTTTTAAGCCTTTAACAATCTGAAAGTAATCTTAACAGTGTGGGGGAGGAACAAACGAAAACTCAGAAACAGCTCCCTCCCCAACCACACACACCCTGAAGGCTTTGGCTGTCTTTCCTCATCTGGGTCAGAGTTTGCACTCCCGGGCTCCTGTCAGGCTCCATCGCAATCCTCCTTAAACTCAGCGCTTTCCCCTTCTTCTAGTCTTTTTTGGTGCACATCCACTCTCTACTCCTCCAAGCCACGGTTCTCCACAGACCACAATACAACGGTGTCAGGCCAACTGTTACTCACCAGCACACTCATGATTCACCCGTCTCTCGGGTGTCTGAACAAAACGCGAGTTTTTCTTCCTTCTGGGAAAGGGAGGTGCTCGCAGATTTCAGGATGGAAATTTCACTCTCCTGCGACCGTCCACACCCGGGACGGTCACTGCCCCGTTCATCGTTTCCGGGCTCCTTAGGGGCTCGGGCACTGATCACCAAGAGGGAACCGGCCCCGCGGCGCAGCGGCTTTGGAAACTTGCTCCTGACCGAGAGCTGCAGCCCAGAAACTGCCTCCCAGGTTATTCTGCTGCTCCCAGGCCGAAGTCTGGTGGTCCCCGCACCCTATCTCGGCCCGGGTGAGGCACCCCCAGCCGCAGCGCTCTGGCTTCACCTTCCCCGGGCCCGGAGTCTTGACCTCAGCCCAGGCCTCCGTGACCCACGTCGGCCGCCCGGCCACCACCTGTCGGGACCGCCCGGCGCGCGGAGCCCGGCAGCCAGCAAAACGCAGTTGACTGCTCGGCCGCTCGGCTTTTGCTCCCGCCAAAGTTGTCCAACGCAAACTTTGCACCAGCCTACCCCGAACCCCCACAGCCCGGCACCCGCTCTTACCTGGGGCGGAGGCGGCAGCGGCCACGGGCGCGCTGGGCGCCAGGTGCCAGGGGTCGGCAGCAGCCGCGTGCGCCACGGCCAGAGGCCCCTCTGGAGCATCCTCCCGCCCCAGGCGCGCGGCTCCCGCAGGCGTCAGCGGCGCATCCTCCCTCAGCCGGGCTCCTCGTCAGCGCCTGGTGGCTCCGAGCTGTGGGCGCTCCCGCCCCGCCTGCTCGCTCAGCGCGCCGCGGCTCCAGCTTGGGCGGGCTCACGGGAGGGTGTGTCCCTGTTTCCACTTGTCGGCTCTCTACGCATCCGGGCGCAGGGCTGTTTTCTTTCCTCCGACCAAAAAAAAAAAAAAAAAAGAGAGCGAGAGAGCGGGAGCCCGAGAGCGGGAGCCCGAGGTCGAGGGCCCCCTCCTTCTCCAGCAGAAGACCCTCTGGAATGAACAGCAGCAGGCGACGCACACCTTGCGAGCTCTAGATTTCAAAACTCGCTGTTAATTCCCGGTGCTGCGTGCTCTGAGCGCCGTCTTCGCCATCCAACCCAGACGGGGATGAGACGAAAACAGCGTCCGGCATCTGGAGGGGGCAGGGCCGCTCAGGAAGTTTGTTTTCCCCACCGAGCTTGGAGAAGACGGATTGAAGCGGGTCGGCCGAGGCCTCTCCCACCTCCACAACCTCCAAGGCCTCTGCCCCGGGCTGCGGTGCCGGGCCCCTGCTCGCTGGCGAGTGCGGTGTGAGGCGGGCAGCCCGGGCCTACCCCTGCGGAGGTTTGTAGTTCACGGTATAGGGGCCCAAACCCGAGTTTTTTGGGAAAGTATCTCCCACAGAATTGGCTTCTCTTTTGAAGCACGTTTTTAATTGAAGAAGCTTCGGAACCGGTATTGAGTTCTTCTAACTACTGGGAAATCGGATGCTTTGTTTTGAGACTACTTATTTTTGAAAGCAAACCAAAGGCATTAAAGAGCAACCTAAACCAATTACAGTAGGGTTGTTAGATAAAATATAGGATGCCCAGTTAAACTTGAATTTTAGATACAAATAGTGAAGTATGTCCCAAATATTGCATGGGTCACATTTATTATTTTAAAAATGAAATATCTGGGATATACTAAATTATTTGGTGTTTATCTGAATTCAAATTTAACTGGGCACTCCGCATTTTTATCTCCTGAATCTGCAAGAGGGTTCAGTTAATGAATCAAAATTGGCAAACCTGCAATAAGTGGCAAATCACTCCTGGCGGTAATCTCCTTTCCTTATTGAAAAGGGAAAGAATCACAAGTTTCTACTATAGTAAAAACTTTATCACTATTAAAGGCTGATTCACCTGTGTTAACTAGCATGTCTTTCAAAATACAGTTGCCCCAGATGGAGAGTGACACATGAAACTTTAAGTTCATATGGGAAGGTAAATTACCTTACCTGAATCTTTTCCTCCTATTAGCTAGTGCTCCAAGTGAAAGAAGCGTGTATTTTTGTTTTTTTGTTGTGAAGGGTTCTTGTTTAATACAACTGAAAAGAATGCCTATACAAAGAATTGACATGAAAAAGCATTGATTCAACACTCATGAGCTAGGTTCTGAAAGGTGTAAAAAAATTACCTGAACATTTTTAGAAATTGGAAACTACAACTAAAACTGATAAAAATCCCTATTAACATTTGTGAAGAATCTTGATAATGTGTCCTGAATTGGTGGGTTCTTGGTCTCACTGACTTCAAGAATGAAGCCGCGGACCCTGGTGGTGAGTGTTACAGTTCTTAAAGGTAGCGTGTCCGGAGTTTGTTCTTTCTGATGTTCGGACATGTTTGGAGTTTCTTCCTCCTGGTGGGTTCAGTGGTTTCGCTGGCTTCAGGAGTGAAGCTGCAGACCTTGGCAGTGAGTGTTACAGCTCTTAAGGTGGCGCGTCCGGAGTTGTTCATTCCTCCCAGTGGGTTCGGGTCTCACTGGCCTCAGAAATGAAGCTGCAAACCTTCACGGTGAGTGTTACAGATCATAAAGGCAGTGCAGACCCAAAGAGTGAGCAGCAGCAAGATTTATTGCAAACAACAAAAGAACAAAGCTTCTAGAGCGTGGCACGGGACCCAGACAGGTTGCCACTGCTGGCTCTGGCAGCCTGCTTTTATTCCCCCATCTGGCCCCACCCACATCCTGCTGATTGGTCCATTTTACAGAGCGCTGATTGGTCCGTTTTGACAGGGTGCTGATTGATGTGTCTACAATCCCTGAGCTAGATACAGAGTGCTGATTGGTGTATTTACAATCCTTTAACTGGATATAAAGGTTCCCCAAGTCCCCACTAGATTAGCTAGACACGGAGCACTGATTGGTGCATTTACAAACCTTGAGCTAGACACAGGGTGCTGATTGGTGTGTTTACAATCCTTTAGCTAGACATAAAGGTTCTCCAAGTCCCCAGGAGATTAGCTAGATACAGAGTGCTGATTGGTGCATCCACGAACCCTGAGCTAGACACAGAGCACTGATTGGTGCATTTACAAACCTTTAGCTAGACAGAGTGCTGATTGGTGCATTTACAATCCTCTAACTAGACATAAAAGTTCTCCAAGTCCCCACCCCTCTCAGGAGCCCAGTTGGCTTCCCCTAGTGGATGCCATGCCAGGGTTGCGGGCTGAGCTGCTTGCCAGTCCTGCGCTCGTGCCTCGTGCCTGCACTCAGCAGCCCTTGGGCAGTCAATGGGACTGGACGCCGCTGAGGCAGGGGCGGTGCCCCTCAGGGAGGCTAGGGCCTAGCAGAAGCCCACCGCGGGGGGACTTGCACATGGCGGGCTGCAGATCCGAGCCCTGCCCCATGGGGAGGTGGCTGAGGCCTGGTGAGAATTTGAGCGTGGCGCGGGCCGGCTGGCAGTGCTGGGGGACCTGACGCCCCCCTCTGCAGCTGCTGGCCCAGGTGCTAAGCCCTTCACTGCCCGGGCCGGGGGTGCCGGCCGCCCTCCGAGTGCGGGGCCACGGAGCCCACGCCCACCCGGAACTCGCGCTGTCCCGCAAGGCCACATGCAGCCCCGGTTCCCACCCGCGTCTCTCCCTCAACCTCCCTGCAAGCAGAGGGAGCTGGTACCAGCTTCCGCAAGCCTGGAGAGGGGCTCCCACAGTGCAGCAGCGGGCTGAAGGGCTCCTCAAGCATGGCCAGAGCGGACTCTGAGGCCAAGGAGGCGCTGAGAGCCAGCGAGGGCCGCCAGCACATTGTCACCTTTCAATAAGATTCTTTACACAATTTTTATTAAACCAGAGAGCCAGCCAGGCGTGGTGGCTCATGCCTGTAATCCCAGCACTTTGGGAGGCCAAGACGGGCGGATCACAAGATCAGGAGTTCAAGACCAGCCTGGCCAACATTGGTGAAACCCTGTCTCTACTAAGAATACAAAAATTAGCCGGGCGTGGTGGAACGTGCCTGTAGTCCTGGCTACTCGGGAGGCTAAGGGAGGAGAATTGCTTGACCCCGGGGAGGCAGAGGTTGCAGTGAGCCGAGGTTGTGCCACTACACTCCAGCCTGGGCGACAGAGCAAGACTCCATCTCAAAAAAAAAAACAAACCAGAGAGCCTCATTTGGGGGCTCTTGGGTTCCTCGTCTGCTACACAGAAGTGAGGAGATTCCCCTGACTGATCTCATGTTGTTAAGTGTTCTATCCATCCCCACCACACCCCAACTTCTTCATGAAGCAGGTCTCCATCCTTATAACTTGAGAGGCTGTGAATCATTCCATAGATGTCGGTCTTCTGCTACCGCTCTTCACATTGCCTCTACATACCAGGTCTTCAGCTGCATTCTAGAAACATCATATACTATTGATTGCAAATCTATAATAATATAAGACAATGACTGACAGGGAAAAAAGTTTTTTTAAGTTACAAACTCAATCCACTTGTTGCATTTCAAAGGTGCAATACTTTTCTTTATTCATCAGTTAAAGAAGTTAGAAATTAACTTCCCCAAAAATCAGCAACCGGCAAACAAATTTCCTTGAAAGTCACAGTCACATATTTAGTGCATCCCAGAAAAGAACAGGGGCAAGAGAATTTTCACCCACTTTCATGAGTTTCATCAAATACTGAGCCTACTCAAGGGTGGAGAGAAAAGGTAACTTTCAAAAAGAGGTATGTTATTAAATAAGGCATTTACTATATTCTTTCCTAAAAGCACCCCAGATAGGGAACATGTTTTTTAAACTAGATTTAGGAAGTCGAATATGGAGTCAATCCGTCCTTCTCCTCTTAAGGACTGACCACTGGTTAATGAATTAAAAAAGAGAAAAGAAAAGAAAAGAAAAAAGACTAAAAAACAAACCCTACAAACACTCCTCCTCCAAAAAAGAAAAAAATAAAACCCCACTAAGATGTCCCAGATTACCCTCCAGAATGGACCCAGGGAGCAGCTTCAACAATTCCAATTAGTCTGTTACACAGTCATCACAAGCATGCCTTGCTTTTAAGTAAAAACAAAATTGTTTTTTGAAACAAAAACCAAAAATGAGTACTGATCACTTTTCTAACAATACACAATTACTCAGAATTAACTAGTATTGGGAGGGAGAAGTGGGCCATACCTCTAATCCCTGTCTCACATGGATGCATGTGGGTTGGTGCAGGGTATTTGTCATTATTGCATAAATGAATTTTAATTTTTAATCTTTTGTTTGATTTAAACATTGCTTTTAGTATGATGCCTACACCAGCTGTGCAGAAAGGGCTCTGGAGAGATGTTCATAGCAGCATAGGCTTCCAGCTCTTCTTCAGTTCTGGAGGCTCCAGGACAGCCAATATTGCTTTGTCAAATCCATTCTTTAGATCTTGCTGTGTGGGTACAGGACCGTCCATATACTTGACAGCCTTCAGGTTGTGGGCCGGCTTTTCAGCAGTCTCTGGAGTGATAGGCTTCTATTTGTTCTTGGTAATTTTCTCAATAATAGACCCTCTGAGATCAATTTGGGTTGTGACAAGCAAGAAAGGAGCCTTTGGACAGTGGTGAGTTATCTCAGGCCCTCACTTTTCTTTCATACTTTAAAATGAACATGGAGAGACCACTGAGAAACAGACTAGAAATATATCTGTGTAGATAACTCAGGAGTTATAGTCTGTCATAATCTTCTTGCCCTGCAGAATTAAAAGTCTAAGAGTATATGGCTCTGCACCAGTCCTAACTGTGAGTGCATAGTTGTCAAAAACAGTCTGTATCTATTAGGATGGAAATTTGTTGTGTAGGATATCAGGAGACATGTTTTACCAACAACTGCATTGACCACAACAATGCAACTAATTGTCTGCATTGCTGAAATAGTTTTGTATCCACTTTAAATATTTGAAATCTGATGTTGACCTCAGTTCTCCAGAAAAGAGTCTTATTAGGAAGGAGGGGAATGGAGAAGAGGGGGAGGAGATGTCCGTTTTGCAGCACAGAATCTGGCCACAAAGGTGGGATTAGCAAACTCCTGTGGGAGAAGCTCCGGACACTGCAGACAGAGCGGGTTTACCGGGGAGGCACTGTCCACAAAGTCGCTCGGCACACATAGATGTTTCGGGTGCACAACAAACTTTCCCACAGTATATAGGACTCTTGATGAGACAAAACGATTACTCAATGTGAGCTAGTTCATAAGTATTACTTATATGTCACAGCCTTTTCACATTCGAATCTCTGATCTCGCTTTTCAAAAAAAAAAAAACTTTGTAAACAGCTCTATTAAGGTATGATCTACATATCGTAACTTTCATTTATTAAAAGTTATTTTTGGCAAATTTACAGAGTTGTGCAACAGTCACCACAATCAATTAGAACATTTCCATCACTCTAGAAAGATTCCTCAGGCTCATTTGCCTCACTCTCCATTCTTACCTCCAGCCCCAGGCAACTACTAATCTACTTTCTGTCTCTCTAGGAAGCAAAGAGCAAGCTGAGCTGGAGATACATTTACTTTGGGTTTAGTGGGATATTTTTGTGTGGTTCATGGTCATTTCTATGTATTGTTAAGATATTGCTAGCCATGCCCACGTAGGAATGGCTTCCAGGAATACTCCTGTTATCCATTGGGCCTCCCACTTTGATAGAATTTTAATGGTAAATAGAGAAGGATATTCCTTTCCCTATTCTGTCTCCAGGTCCTGGACCTCCATTGCTAATAGAGTATTAAAGAACTCTGTACCCAAATGAGAGTACACATTATTTCAAACACATATGGATGATTCACAATGTAATGCCCACATGGTGGGCCTCAAAGGGAATCTCAAAAATGACCTTAAACTTGCTAACATATAAGCTATGTTCATGAAATTAAATATAAGAAATTGGAGTTTTCTGCCTGAGCAAGGAGACTGGTGGTCTGGTTCTTGGGCTTCCCTAGCAGCCTGGCCCCCAAATGCCAGTCTTCCCTCCTGTCTCGAAAGAAGACACCAAGACCACCTCCTGTTCTGAGACCAGAGGAGACTTCGGCCTCTGTAGGCTTGCCAAAGAAGGGCGAAAAAGAACAGCAAGAAGCAATTGAACACATTGATGAAATACAAAATGAAATAGACAGACTTAATGAACAAGACAATGAGGAGATTTTGAAAGTAGAACAGAAATATAACAAACTCCGCCAACCATTTTTTCAGAAGAGGTCAGAATTGATCTCTAAAATCCTAAATTTGGGGGTAACAACATTTGGCAATCATTTACAAGTGTCTGCACTGCTTGGGAAGGAAAACGAAGAGACATTGCATTATTTGACCAGAGTTGAAGTGACAGAATTTGAAGATATTAAATCAGGTTACAGAGTAGATTTTTATTTTGATGAAAATCCTTACTTTGAAAATAAAGTTCTCTCCAAAGAATTTCATCTGAATGAGAGTGGTAATCCATCTTCAAAATCCACTGAAATCAAATGGAAATCTGGAAAGGATGTGACGAAACGTTTAAGTCAAATGCAGAATAAAGCCAGCAGGAAGAGGCAGCATGAGGCACCAGAGAGCTTCTTGACCTGGTTTACTGACCATTCTGATGCAGGGGCCGATGACTTAGGAGAGGACATCAAAGATGATATTTGGCCAAACCCATTACAGTACTACTTGGTTCCCCATATGGATGATGAAGAAGGAGAAGATGATAATGAGGAGGAGGAGGAAGGATTAGAAGACACTGATGAAGAAGGGGATGAAGATGAAGGTGAAGAAGATGATGATGAAGGGGAGGAAGGAGAGAAGGATGAAAGAGATGACTAATAGAATACTGATGGATTCCAACCTTCCCCTTTTTAAATTTTCTCCAGTCCCTGGGAGCAAGTTGTAGTCTGTTTTATTTTGTTTTGTTTTTGCCTCCTGTGCTCAGTCGCCCTATTCTTGAGGTCTCTTTTCTCTACACTTAATTGGGGGAAATATCTTGAGCAGACTACATTGAGAAAAGAGTCTCTACCCCTTTCTGTTCGAAATTCATTTTTATCCCTTCCTGTCTGAATAAAAACTGTATGGAATCAACACCACCAAGTTCTGTGGGAAAAAAGAAAAACCTGCTCCCTTCGCTCTGCTGGAAGCTGGAGGGTGCTAGGCTCCTGCGTAGCAGTGCATAGAATTCTAGCTTCTTGCCTCCTTTCTCTGTATATTGGGCTCAGAAAGTACACTGTGTGTCTATGTGAATATGGACAGTTAGCACTGACCAACATGTATCTATTTTCTCTTGTTTAAAAAAAAGAAAAAAAAAACTTTTAAAAATGGGGTTGGCTGGGTGCAGTGGCTCACACCTGTAATCCCAGCACTTTGGGAGGCCGACGCGGGTGAATCACCTGAGGTCAGGAGTTCGAGACCACCCTGGCCAACATGGTGAAACCCCGTCTCTACTAAAAAAATACAAAAATTAGTTGGGCGTGGTGGCAGTCACCTGTGATCCCAGGTACTCGGGAGACTGAGGCAGGAGAATCGCTTGAACCCAGCAGGCGGAGGTTGCAGTGAGCTGAGATGCGGTTGGTTGCATTAACTTCTACTTCCTGCCAGTTAGCCCTTACTCTGCTTTTTTTTCCCTTTAGCATTTAATCATTACCTGACATATTACATACTTTTAAAATCTGTCTCCCCCAACTGGAATGTAAGCTCCATGACAGAAGGGACCTTGTCTGTTTTGTTCACTGCTCTATCACCAGCACCTAAGTAGTAGGTTCTCAAATATCTGCTGAATAAATTTAATAGATCAATAATAAAACAGGACTTTAAAACTACAACCGCCCTTAGGCTGGGCACAGTGGCTCACGCCTATAATCCTAGCACTTTGGGAGACCGAGGTGGGTGGATTGCCTGAGCTCAGGAGTTTGAGACCAGCCTGGGCAACATGGTGAAACCCCATCTATACTAAAATACAAAAAATTAGCCAGGCATGGTGGTGTGCACCTGTAATCCCAGCTACTCGGGAGGCTGAGACAGGAGAATCTCTTGAACCTGGGAGGCAGAGGTTGCAGTGAGCCGAGATCACTCCATTGCACTCCAGCCTGGGTGACAGAGCAAGAATCTGTCTCAAAAAAAACAAACAAACAAAAAAACAAACCCCAAAAAACTACAGCCACTTTTAAAAATAATAGAAACACACAAACTTGTGGTTAGTAGTACATGAGGATTTGCCAGACACTGTTCTAGGCTGATGGTAGAGTGATGAATAAAAACGATGAGTTTCTATATTCACAAACTATGTATTTGTCAAAGGACTAATATCCAGAATCTACAAAGAACTCAAACAAATCAGCAAGAAAAACACAAATAATCCCATCAAAAAGTGGGCAAAGGATGTGAATAGACAATTCTCAAAAGCTTATACAAACAGCCCACAAACATATCAAAAAATGCTCAACATCACTAATTATCAGGGAAATGCAAATTAAAACCACAATGAGATACCAACTTACTCCTGCAAGAATAGCCATAATTAAGAAGTGAAAAAACAATAGATGTTGGTGTAGATGTGGTGAAAAGAAAACACTTTTATACTGCTGGTGCTAATGTAAACTAGTCCAACCACTATGGAAAACAATATGAAGATTCCTTAAAGAATTAAAAGTAGATCTACCATTCAATCCAGCAATCCCAATCCCACTACTGTGTATCTACTCGAAGGAAAAGAATTCATTATATGAAAAAGACACGTGCACACACGTTTACAGAAGCACAATTTGCAACTGCAAAAATATGGAACAAACCTGAATGCCCATCACCCAAGTAAATAAAGAAAATGTGGTGTGTATATATATATACACACACCATGAAATACTACTCAGCCATAAAAAACAAAATAATGTCCTTTGTAGCAACTTAGATGGAGCTGGGGGCCATTATTCTAAGTGAAATAACTCCAGAATGGAAAACCAAATATAGTATGTTCTCGCTTATAAGCAGGGGCTAAGCTATGAGGATGCAAAGATGTAAGAATGATATAATGTACTTTGGGGATTCAGGTGTGGGGAAGGTTGGGTGGGGGTGAGGGATAAAAGACTACATAGTGGGGTCAGGCACGGTGGCTCATGCCTGTAGTCCCAGCACTTTGGGAGGCCGGGGCGGATGGATCGCTTGAGGCCAGGAGTTCAAGACTAGCCTGGCCAAAATGGCAAAACTCCATCTCTACTAAAAATACAAAAATTAGCCGGGCATGGTCGTGTGTGCCTGTAGTCGCAGTTACTCGGGTGGCTGAGGCATGAGAATCGCTTGAATCTGGGAGGCAGAGGTTGCAGTGAGCCAAGATTGGCCACTGCACTCCAGCCTGGGTGACAGAGCAAGACTCCAACTCAAAAAAAAAAAAAAAAAGAAAGAAAGACTACATATTAGGTACAGTGTATACTGCTTGGGTAATGGTGATGGGTGCATCAAAATCACAGAAATCACCACTGAAGGACTTATCCATGTAACCAAAACCACCTGTACCCCACAAAACTATTGAAATAAAAAAAAATTTAAAAAATTGACACTTAAGAACTTTTTTTTTTAAAGATGAGTTCTGTGTTCTTCCTTACACAGAACCTAGTGGGGAAGCTTGTTCACCTAGTGAACAAGTAATTAAGTAGAGTGACATAAAGGTTATAAGAGTAAAACTACAAGGGCTATGTGAACATACAGCAGGGAGACCCCACCTAAGCTAGTGGTAAGGGACAGGCTGGCATCAGTACACACTAATAACTGAAGGAGGAAGAGCAGCTAACCAGATAAAAAAGTAAAGATGAGTTCTTAGCAGGAGGAACAGCATGTTTACAGGCTCAGAGGCTTAAGAGGTCATAACCACTATTGTAATAAAGAGATAGGTCAAAAGCCTGAGAAAGTCTTTTTGGAATAAACCTGATAGCAAAAACAAACAAACAAAAAAAAACCCACAATTGTGACTTACTGGTGAGCATCGAGTTTTGAAGTCTGATGTTATGTACATGTAATGAACTAAGACTACTTGCTTCTTTCTGTATACCCATCTGTACTGGATGGTCTGAAGCAAAAAAGTGTAGTTAATACATCGATCACAGTAAAAGTGGAGGTAGCAGCAGCCCACATGATAATATTTTGGTTTTCCATGTCCAGTGTGGAATAATTGCAGTGAAGGTGGAAAGTGATAGGAGGGCAAAGGGCAGGCTCAATGTGGGAGTATTATTACTATTATTACTGTTGTGCTGTTATTTTGTTAAGACATTGACTGCCATTTATCAAGTATTTACTACAAGTAAGGTGCTGCACAAGAAACTTTACATACTCGTTCCATATAATTCTCACAAAACTCTTACCAAGGAACCATTATTCTCTAGTAGGGATATGAAAGCTCAGAGAAGTTTAGAAACTTACCCCAGGTAACACAGCTAACAGAGGAACTATAATTCAAATTTTGTTCTGTTTGGCTTGCAAACCCATATTCTTTCTATTACAGTCAGTCTAACATAATGTGACAGATCCAGTGCTAGAACTGAATTCTTTTTCACTATCAAATTTATTCCCACTATACCTCTCAGACTGTCTTCTAATTTCCCTTCAGCACAGTACGGAATGTTGGTTGGTTGGCATTCTTTACCTGGTGGGAGATGCAAATCTTACTTTTGAAGAGTTTGAATCATTAGTGATCCATTCTTTTATTAGGCTGCTATATTTCTTTAACTTTTAGTACTGAACATAGAAGTATTACGAGGCACTCTGGAAAAATCCTCTAGATTTTCGATATAGTCCTCCTTGCCCCATTATGTCACAGCAAATCAATTCCTCTTCATAATCAGGATGATTCTTCTTCTGGTTGTTGACAAAAGGAACCCAAAATGGCTAGGTAATACTCGTAACTTCCAATACAGTGGGAACATTGCTGTGTCCCTTTGAGAACTAAGCATCTCTCCTTTGTAAACTAAGACCCTAAAATTTGGGGACTATATTAAGGGAATGATTTCACTTTCAATTCTTGATTCTTAGACCTGTGTGTCTGGCTACAGGGGAAAAATGTTGGTTGCTTATTCAAAGCATATACTGTATCCTGTAGGATGATACTCCAACCATCACCATAACTGAGTCATCAGAAGAACATTCCACCTTTCTGCCAGGTCAGCTGCTTTTTGGGGTATGTAGTAGTCTGTTCCTGCATTGCTATAAAGAGCTACTTGAGACTGGGTAATTTAGACATAAAAGGCTTAACTGACTCACAATTCCACAGGCTGTACAGGAAGCATGACTGGGGAGGCCCCAGGAAATGTACAATCACGGCCAAAGGCAAAGGGGAAGCAGGCACGTCTTACATGACCAGAGAAGAAGGAAGAGAGATCAGGGGTAGGTGCTACACACTTTTAAACAATCTGATCTCATAAGAACTCAATATCACAAGAACAGCAAGGGGGAAATCTGCTCCCATGATCCAATCTAATCACCTCCCACCAGGCCCCTCCTCCAACCTTGGGGATTACAATTCGACATGAGATTTGGGCAGGGACACAAATCCAAACCACATCAGGGTGACAGGTTGTAGTAAGAGCAGTGAATTCCCATTAACACACTTCTTTTGCTATGAGTTCCTTGATCAGAAGCAATGTTGTGGAGGTCATATGGCAATGATGAAGGCATTCTGTAAGCCCACAGATGGTGGTGGTAGCAGAAACACTGCAAGCAGGGCAGGCAAATCCATATCCAGGTTGTTTGTCTATTCCATTGAGGACAAATGCTCCATGATCAAAGGGGTACAATGTAATCAACATATCAGGTGGCTACTAGTTTTCCCCAAGGAATGATGCCATATTGAGGAATCAAAGAAGGTCTCAGCTGACAATGCTTAGAAATAACAGTGGCAGTAGCCAGATCAGCCTTGGTGAAGGGACATCCATAATATTTAGCCCACACATAGCTTCTATCTTTACAAGTATGGCAACTTTGTACATGAACCATTGAGCAAATACTGGGGTGGCTACAGAAAGAGGCTGATATTCACAGGATGGGTCACCTTCTCCACCTGATTGAGATGGACAAATTTTGCTGCAGATGCCCTTTGGGGTGCATTGATATGGAACATAATTATCTCATTTGCTGTGTCCATTTCGTGACGTTCATTCAAATCCCTCTTCTCCAAACCTCCTTGTCACCAATTTTCTAATCCTGTTCCTACCAAGACCTTTGTCATCTAGTCATTTGCCATTGCCTATGAAGCTACATAGATCTACATCTTTTGAGATCTATATAGTCTAGACAAAGTGGCGATCAATGTACTGCTTGAAGTTTTGCCCACAAAGAGGATTTCTTTATTATTAGACTAATACTATAGCAGACCAGTTGATGCCAGCACTTTGTCTTAAATTCAGGTTTTAGTTTCTCCCTTAACTGATTATAGGAAAACATCCCCATGAGGCCATAAATGCGAATGCAGGGAAAGGAAGCCATGCAGCAGGAGCAGGTGTCATGAGTCAGAGCTGCCAGCTCGTGCAACTGACTTCAGGATCTGCTGAGCCTAATCCCTTATATACTAACGTTAAGCTGCCACTTAACGATAGATCGCTATTGTGCATGTTCACTTCTACTGCTTGGTTCACACTGGTCAGCATAGATCCCAAGGACATTTGACATCCTGTAGTAGACAGCTTAATAGCAATATAAGAGCTTCTCTCACAAAGGTAAGTTTTTTTTTTTGCTTTTTTTTTTTGTTTTTTTGCAGAAGAGGGTATGGCTCTGCTCTAAAACCCTAGAGAAGTCTGACTCTCCAGTTGAGGCTTGATGTGGCATTTGTATTTGCCGCAGACACTCCCAAGTTGGATCTGCTGGGTCAATAAAGCCCATGTGGCAAAGCAGTTTGCACTGAAGTCTGAGTTGATGTAGAGGCTTCTTTTGCTCTAACCACACCTCAGATTGGCAGCCTTACAGGTTACTTGGTAATGGAGTACAGTGACACACTGAAATGTTGTATACATAGCTTCCAAAAAAAAAAAAAAGCCACCAAGCACTGTGCCTCGCATTATAGAAGGTGGCACAGGGAGCAGCAATTTGTCTCCTACATTAGTGGGGATTTTGCAAGATGCTCCAGACCACTGAAACTCAACTTTGAGGTGGTATACTCCTGAATTTTCATAAGGTTTATTATCTACCTTCTGGCACCATTCTCATTCTATGTCAGATTTTCTTTCAATTTCTATCTAGTGTAGTATAGTATGTTTCTCCTCTTATCCAACTGAAACTGTCTTTATTTTTATTCACAGGTCTTCAATGCATTTTCTGTCTAGCTTGGAATAACATTGGTTCTGCTGGACACAGTGGCTCACACCTGTAATCTCAGTGCTTTGGGAGGCTGAGGTGGGAGGATCGCCTGAGCCCAGGAGTTCAGTACCAGCCTGGGCAACATAGCAATATCTTGTCTCTACCAAAAATAGCCAGGCATGGTAGTACATGCCTATAGTCCCAGCCGCTCAGGAGGCTGAAGCAGGAGGATCCCTTGAGCCCAGGAGTTTGAGGCTGCAGTGAGCTATGATCGATACCACTGCACTCTAGCCTAGCAAGACCCTGTCTCTAGGAAAAATTGGTTCAACAAACATTTACTAAATGCCTACTATATGTCAGGTATAGGGGGCACTATGACGAAGAGAACCTGGTTCCCATGTTTGAGGGAGAATGTCAATTGTAACACAGTCTGATGGGGGCTACAGTAGAGATGAGAATGTGTTATGGATACACACAGGAAGGAGTATTTAACCCAGATGAGACAGCCATCAGGAGAAGCTGCCAGGAGGTAATGATCCCTAGGCTGAATTCTGAAGGATAAGGAGGAGTAAGTGCTAAGAAAGCCAGGAAGGGAATGAAAGACAGTGTTTTCCAAGCAGTGGAGCAGCATTTGCAAAGCCTGGATGTGAACAAAGGACAGCCCCTGTAATGATGTACATTTACCTTCTTTTCCTTTCAAAGTTATTCTTCTGGTTCCTACTCATTCTCCACCCCAATTTTGTCCTCACTCCTTCCCAGATTATGACCCAAAAGAGTGCCATAAATGCTATGAAGACGATTTAGGTTCACTACATTTTTGGTAAAAACCTTTTGAAAGACCACTTTTTGCTTGTGAACACAGTACTCAGGGTCTTAGTTATTAAATAACTCAGCTTTAAGTTTTGACCTTTCTTGTTAAACATCTTATTCATCCATTTCTCCATTTACCTCTATTATTCCTAACTCTGCACATAATTACTTACTTACCAGCTTTTGATAACTAATAGGAGACAGGCTAGAGACACAGTATCTTCCACTCTATTAGAATTTTTCTGGTTCCATAGGAAGTGCATGTAATAGGCGTTTCCTATTGTTACTATGCAAGTCATTAGACCTAAGCCCCAAAGAAGCAGAATTTGAAAGAAATTGACTACAGGGGAAAAAGATCCATAAAAACTTTCATTAAGAATGGGAAAAAGTCCTCCTAACTGGTATAATGTTTTACAGATTTCCCAAGGGTCACTGTGAAATGACTCCACTATAAGAAAGGCTAATAAGCTTTTGCAGTTGTTCAATTAAATTTAAATGTGTCTCTGCCATGTATTCTGTCTTGGGAAGAGTACCTGGGGATATGTGAAGTGGGATAAGAAGTATAAAGAAAATCCAAAATACAATCCCTGCTCTAAAGCAAATTCCTAAGTAATAAAGACTTGAGAGGAATATATAGAAATTGCTTATTGTTTATTTTTAAAGAGAATGAGCTTAAACATATGATTTAATATTATAAAACAATATCCTATTAAGTTAAAAAGAAACCAGTTATAATACGGCAGTTGGCTTAATTTTATATAAAAGTTATTTAAATTAGCACATATTCACTGGCTACATCATCAAAATGTTATAAGCAATATAGAGGGGTAGGTTATGCATATTTATTTTTAGCAATGAAAGTATAATTATTTTTCTACCAAAAATATTTAAAACCCAGTTATAGAAAAATAGAAAAATATAGTGAAATATGCATACATACATCATTATATACAAATCAAATAATCTATAGCAATCTCAATGGCTATCAAGCTAAAATAATACATATCTGAAATGCAAAAATAGCAGAAAAACCATGAACACCTCCCAACAAGATAATACATTCATAAGAAAATGCTTGAGTACTGACCGTAGGATAGTTTCTGTCAGTTGTCTGACCTGCTGTGTGACAGTATCTGTATATACACTTTTGTGCATTCTTGCAAAATTACAAACCTTGTACAGGGACCAGGCATCTTATAAGTAGAATCCTAAGCAAACTCTAATAAAACACTGATTTTCATTTGTGGAAACAAATTTTAGTGGTCCTTTGTAATTCACTTATTAGTAAGTAATAACATTACTAGTAAGTACTTGTAAGTAATGCTGATTGGTCCAAAAGTAAAAATCCACAGAACTGTGCATTGTTTACTAAAGGAAACAAAAAATAATTAATTTTTGGATCTGCCCATGCCAAATCTGAAGGCAATGAATACATTAATAGCTTCTGTGTCCCCTGATTATGGCTACCTTCTCCACTTAAGCCAAGTACACATACACACTTCCTGCCCACTTGTTTTATATTACGTACTTACTTCTTATGGTTATTATAAGAATGCAGGCAGGAGGAGGATACCAATTTGCTGGTTGATACAGATCCTGTCTCTGAATTCAGAGGCAAAAGATGAATGAATTATGTAGTATCTTCTATTTTTGTTTTTCAGGTTTCATGTGCCAAACAGGGCTTGAGTGTTATTTTTTTTCTTTAAAAATTTGTATTTTTTTTTTTCTTTCAGACAGTCTTGCTCTGTCATCAAGGCTGGATTACAGTGGTGCAGTTGTAGCTCACTGCAGCCTCAAACTCCTGGGCTCAAGTAATCCTCTCACCTCAGCCTCCCAGGCAGCTAGGACTACAGGCACACACTACCACAACTGGCTAATTTTTTATTTTTTATGGAGATGGGGTCTTGCTGTGCCGCCCAGGCTGGTCTCAAACTCCTGGCCTCAAGAGATCCTCCCACCTGGACCTGCCAAAGTGTTGGGATTACAAGCGTGAGCCATCACACCCGGCTGAGTGTTTATTTTTTTCATAAATTGTCTTCTTTCAGTAATTTTTAGTTCTATCTAGATGATGTCTGCAATGTTATTTTCAACTTTGTTGTGAGTTTTCTTCTTTTCCTATGTCTTCAAAAGTATTTTAGTGAGAAGATACTTAGAAGAGGAGGGCTCACGGTTTCTTTAATATAACACTTTGCTAATATGTGCCTTTCCTAGCCTCACAAGTTGAATATGTAACAGTCAAATCCCCAAATAGCTATCAAATAGTATTTGCCACACACATATATACATATTAATGTATGAATACTTTTAATACATTAATGTATGCATTTTAATGTATCTCTGGCCAAGCCCCTAATCAGGTAGTGAATATGAATTGAGGTATCCAAAAAGCTCGCCCAGGAAATTCTGATCCCATCCCTACCAATAACACTAAGAACCACTACCTTTTTTTAGTTAGTTGAAAAAGCAGCTCACAGAATTCCTGACAAGCATACCCCTTCCTCTCACCCAACACTCCCTGCCTCACAAAGCAAATGGCCAAAGAGACTTGTCCCATAAGGAGGCAATGAGAATGGATTATCCACCTCCCATCAGGATTACTCTCGTCGTGCCTATATTTTGGTTTATGTCAGTCTCCACACACGCTAACTGAAACCTGGCTGTCTTGAGGATATTACCTTCCTCCAAACCTGTCAAAGGACGGCTGTGTTTGATCCTAAACCCCAGGCAGGCATCCCTCTACTCCTCTGTTGGCATCCAGATTCTTCTTCCTCCTTGCCTACCTCAGGTCCTCAGCATATCCCCTTGCCACTCCTCCTTATTGCAATCATTTACAGTCTCCGTGTCCCCAGCATTATTCCTGTCATTTTTTGGGGATAATTTTAATAATCAAATAGATGATCCATTTGAAATCCTGGGCTCTAAGTTCTCACCTCCCTACCTCTAGTTACCTTTAATAACATCTCAACCACTCATTCCCCCAGTCTTGTCATTATCTAAACTTCTCCCAAATCTCAATTCCAAGCTTTTCATATCCTAACCACTACATTTTATCTTTCCAACTCATTCTTTCTGACACCTATACTCTTAATAGCTTTTAACCTCAATGGGACCTCCAAACAACTAAGCCCGCTACCCATCTCTACCCATCACTATCCATCACCCATTTTGTGCTCTTGTAGCTTAAATGAGTCACTCCCTTGTATACATCCTAAATTCTCTTGCTCCTCCTCTGTTCCTTGTAGCCAACTGTGGTTAAATCCGACTTCCTACCAAGCACTGAACATAGCTAGAGGAAAGAGGTACAGTTATGCTTATTAGTTTCATTCTAAGTTCGACTCACAGCCCAAGATGGGTCCTCACAATCCTATTACATACCAGTAGTAAATTCAACATCTTACTCTCCTAGACTATTTTGCAAAACCTCTAACCCTCTTACACCCTTTCAGCTGATAATTCTGTTGCTTCTTTCACAGAGAAAAGAGCACTCGCAAAGTAAGTTCTACATTCATCTACCACAAAGTTCTCCTATTTGGACAGCTCTTGTTCCAGGTATCTATGTGGCTTTAGCTCTCTGCTCAACTCTCATCTTCTTAAAAGAGCCTTTCCTGCTCACTATCAAAAACAGTATTTTCCATCTCCTTTCCGAGCTTTATTTTTCTTCATAACATTCACTATACTTACATAGAATTATATATCACACTTACAAATTATATAAAATGATTTTTGCCTCTCCCCAGTCTTCTACGTTCTCACTTCAGAGTATAAGCTTTGTGGAAGTGAAGATTTTACTTTGTGCCTGGAACAATATCTGGCAAGCATTAAATGCTTACAAATATTTATTGAATGAGAGACAAAATATCCAGACAAAAGATTTTTGTCTTTTATAAAGAAGAATTATACTTTTTATGGTAAAATTGCAGTATTTAGTTGCCCTTAGAGTACTAAAGTTTCTCTCTCTTTTTTTTTGAGTTGAAGTCTGGCTCTTGCCCAGGCTGGAGTGCAGTGGTGCAATCTCGGCTCACTGCAACCTCTGCCTCCCAGGTTCAAGTGATTCTTCTGCCTCAGCCTCCCAAATAGGTGGGACTACAGGAAGGCACCACCATGCCTGGCTTAGTTTCTCTTACTGTTCAGATTCTCTCTTGCTAGAGGCAGCATGGTATAGGGACAAGTATGGTCCTGTGGGTGGGGGGTGGGGTGGGAGTAGGTTGTGGGTAGGGAGAACATTTGGATTTTTACTATTAGCATTGACACTAATTAGTAAGTAATGTCATTTAGGGTGAGTCATTTAACCTCTCATTTCCAGCAGGGAATGTGAGAGTACTTTTATTTTTATCCAAAGAAATGAGATCCATGAAAGCACAAAAACAGTAAAAATAACCCACTACACAGCAAGCCTTTTTCTTTTTTTTTCTTTTTTTTTTTGAGACAGGGCTTCACTCTATCTCCCAGACTGAGTGCGGTGGTGTGGTCAGAGCTCATTGCGACCTTGACCTCCTCGGCTCAGGATGTCCTTCCACCTTAGCCTCCTGAGTAGGTGGGACTACAGGTGCACACAATCCCTGGCTAATTTTTTTGTATTTTTGTAGAGACAGGGTTTCCCCCATGTTGCCCAGGCTGGTCTCGAACCTCTGGGCTCAAGCCATCCGCTTGCTTTGGTCCCTCAAAGTGCTAGGATTATAGGCATGAGCCATCATGCCTGGCAGAGTCTTTTTCCTTCCAAAGTTTGTTGATGGGGACTTTCATAGTGTACAGAATAAAATTATGTCCCATAATCTAATGGATCCTTAAGAGTTTTTTATAGTAAATAAGTTGTTAGTGAATGAGAGGTTTCTTGATCAGAAGAAAATCACTTTCAAAATTCAAGATGGCAATCTTAAAGTCAATTAAATAAATGGGATAGTGATATGTGTTACTAAAATTTTCTTGCTATAAGTGTGCAGGCAAAAATATCTAATGTAAATAAGAAAGACAATTTAAGATTATACTTACTAGTTAAGAATATTTTTGAAAGTAGCACCATTTGTTTTAGAATACAAACAGAATAAGTACTTGGTAATGTCCACAGACTAATGAAAGTGTATTGATTCATATATATTACTTTTTTTTTTTTTTTAAGATGGAGTCTCACTCTGTTGCCCAGGCTGGAGTGCAGTGGCGTGATCTTAGCTCACTGCAACCTCAGCCTCCAGGTTCAAGCGATTCTACTGCTTCAGCCTCCTGAGTAGCTGGGATTACAGGTGCCCGCCAGCACCCCTGGCTAATTTTGGTATTTTTAGCAGAGATGGGGTTTCATCATGTTGGTCAGGCAGGTCATGAACACCTGACCTCAAGTCATCTGCCCACCTTGGCCTCCCAAAGCGCTGGGATTACAGGCGTGAGCCACCGCGCCTGGCCTGATTCATATATATTACTAACTGAAATGCAGTATCACTGCACTTCCCCAATTAGTAAATTCAATACATCCTGTATGTAAAAAAACCCACCAATCCCCACAAAAAACCAATCAAACAAAAACCCCAAAAAATCACCAAACCATACTGTCAAGCGAAATAGTTTTAATTAGTAGGCTGATCATAAATAAATCTACATAAAAGATTTAACAGAATTACAAAGAGTTTTGTGTTCCTTTGTGGACTCAATTCATAATATGCATTAGTCAACCTCATTCTCTAACTGTGACAAAAAGAGTTGTCATCCAACAATGCAGCACAGTTTAAGCAATTCATATGCTATAGTTACATTTTTACATTTTCTTTACAAATGTAACATTTATGTACATTATATATAGATTTTTTTCTATAGTTCATGTACTGAAACTCTATTGTTTTTACAGAGAAAATGTTGAATTCATTTAATGAATAAGAAACATTCCTTGTTAAAAAGTAATTCATATAAACAAATAACACGGTACCAATGCCTTTTGGCATCTCTTGCCAGAGTTCAAGTCCAGAAATGTTATATTAATTATAAGAAAAAAGAATTTATCTAATTTTACATTATGACATATCATTCCACATAGCTACATAAATTTGCCAGCTTGCAATGAACAGAGCACTGTACTGCCATACTACTGGAAATGTGTAGAAACCAATTCAAAATATACTTGGTGAAACAGCATCATCGTTACCATTAATTTGAGTTGAAAAAGATCTGTCAAGTTCTTTCTTCCCCTTTACTTTTTACCAAAGCCTCAGACAGAGTGCTGTGCGTTGCATCTTGTATTAACAAATGCCTTCATTTCAAATTTCTCACGCGCTTCTCTGACAGATTATGCTTTACCTAGGTTATAGATCTTTTTCTTATTCAATTTTATTCTACTTCACTTACAAATCTGCTGCTGAACATGAAGCAAAAATTCATAGTAAGAAAATGCAGCCTCTGTCCGGTCTTCAATCAAATGCTGAAAAAATTCTGCTTTGGCAGGACTCTCATCTCTGGAAGAAAGAAAAGGGCATTTGTCTAAACGTATTTAAAAGCCCTGATTTCACCACTTTGCAATCTAGCTCATAAAATTACACTTGTATCCTGTAAATTTATACAAATAAAATAAAAGTGCATATTTCTAAAAATAGTATATATTTTAAAAATTACTGGGCTGGCAGCTCACACCTGTAATCTCAGCACTTTAAGAGGCTAAGGTGGGAGGACTGCTTGAGCCCAGAAGTTTAAGACCAGCCTGGGCAAGATAGAAAGATCCCCATTGCTTAAAAAAAAAAAAAAAATTTTTAAAATTGGCCGGGCGTGGTGGCTCACGCCTGTAATCCCAGCACTTTGAGAGGCCGAGGTGGGTGGATCACCTGAGGTGAGGAGTTCAAGACCAGCCTGGCCAACATGGTGAAACCCTGTCTCTACTAAAAATACAAAAATTAGCTGGGCGTGGTGGTGGGCGCCTGTAATCCCAGCTACTTGGGAGGCTGAGGCAGGCGAATCGCTTGAATCCAGGACGCAGAGGTTGCAGTGGGCTGAGATCGCACCATCGCACTCCAGCCCGGGTGACAAGAGCGAAACTTTGTCTCAAAAAAAGAAAAAAAAAAAATTAAAAATTAGCCAGGTGTGGAGGGAAGTGCCTGCAGTCCCAGCTACTCGGGAGTCTGAGTTGGGAGGATTACTTGAGCATGGGAGGTCCAGGCTGCAGTGAACTGTGATAGCAGCACCCCTGCACTGCAGCCTGAGTGACAGAGTGAGACTCTATCTCAAATTAAATAAAGAAAGAAAGAAAATTAAAAATTACTAATATATGGAGATGTCAGAAAATGGAATACAGGGGATTTAAATCAAGTAACAACATTTTACCATCAGAATATATTTTGCTACTATTTAAAGTTTGCTTTGAAGACAAGCAATTCCACAGACTACATAGGAAAGACAACTTCATAATTAAGTTACAAAAGTACTTACTTTACTATGTGAAGGATTGGACTTAATGGTCTGCTGTCTCTAAGCCAAGTTATGAAGGATCTGGCTCTTTCTGATGAAAGTGTATCTAGCTCTGGAAGATGTGTCTGGTAAAAGAAATACAATTAGGAAACTTTCCTTTCTCATAGACTTCAGCAGTAATAGAACAAAATCATGATTCCTACCATCACCCCCAACTGCCAGCACTCTATTTCTTAGCCTCAACAGCAGCAACTACACAAATAAAATTTAAACTGTTGAAAAATCTGTTTATATTTTTCTGGATAAGTCAATAAAATATGTGCAATGACAAGTATGTCACTGACATTTTAACTGACTATATTTTTCTTGGTAAGTCAATAAAACATAAACAACGATTAGCATGTCACCAGTATTGTGTGGCGGCTTTATGTTTCTTCTAGAGGAAATGTTCAAATGAAGGGGGATACCATTAAATTCCAAATTCCCTTAGCAATTATATATGATTATATCCTATTCTAAAAACAGCCATTCTGGGAGAATTTCATGTTTTCTTTAATTTAAAGGCAAAGAATTTTAAAGTACAGTGTGGATATGTAAATATATTTTAAAACTATACGCGAGACTATTTTAAAAGGACCTAAAAGTCTATTATTTTTTATATACATAAAAAGGTAAGATTTACTTTCCTTTTTCAAAGCCAACTGTAAATTAAATAGCAAATTAACAGTAAATTAAATAATTCAAAAATGTAGTATATAACAAAATTTAAATAGACAAGTTTGGAATAATTATGTTTGTAATTCCGGTCAATATTTTAAAAACCATTTCCATTTTGATGTGAATTTTTTCAGATGTTTTCTAAATTATTACTAAGTATACAAACACATTTTTGAAAATACAAATGGGGATCATATCATGCATATTATTCACTTCAGGCTGTATTCTTCTTCTTTTTTTCTTTTTAAGAGATGGGGTCTTGCTAGGTTGCCCAGACTGGAGTGCAATGGCTGTACACAAGTGCAGTCATAGTACACTACAGCTTTGAACTCCTGGGCTCAAGCTATCCTCCTGCCTCAGCCTCCTAGCCTCCCAAGTAGCTGGGACCACAGGTGCATGGCACAGTGCCCCAGACTGTATTCTTTTTAATAAATGCACAGCTATTATTTAATACTATAAGCATGTGTGTATATATGCCTACTTCTATGAATATATCTATGGGACACATTCTTTGCAGAATAATTTACCGTGTCATAAAGAACATGATTTTCACAGACATTGTCAAATGGCCCTCTAAAAAGGTTATATAAGTACTATATATTCCAGTCAATAATGCTCAACAGTGTCCACTGTCCTAAACTGTCTACATGATTGCCTATTATCAAATTTTAAAATTTTTGACAATCTGGTAAATGAAAGAAATGCTAAATTACTATTTTTTTTCCTAATTATGAGTGAGGTTAAATATTGTTTTATATGACCTCTACTTTATTCTTCTTTTATGAATTGCCTATTAAAATCCTTTACCCAGTTTTGTCTGGAGGAGGCAGAAAGTAAGGAAGGTCTTCTCAAAGATTTGTAAGAGAACTTTTTATAGAGAAGTTAGCCCTTTTCAGTCTTATGAGTTACAGATAATCTTAAGATTTTATTGTTTGTATTTTGGCTTTATTTATTTATTTATTGTTACCAAATATAAATGTTTTATATTTGTGCTTTCAGATTTATTGATCTTTTGAATCACCGACTTACAAAGGCGTTACCCATTCTAATATTATAAAAAAAAAAAAAATTTGGCCAGGCGCAGTGGCTCACGCCTGTAATCCCAGCACTTTGGGAGGCCGAGGTGGGGGGATCACAAAGTCAGGAGATCGAGACCATCCTAGCTAACACAGTGAAACTCCATCTCTACTAAAAATACAAACAATTAGCTGGGCGTGGTGGCAGGCGCCTGTAGTCCCAGCTACCCAGGAGACTGAGGCAGGAGAATGGCGCGAACCCGGGAGGCAGAGCTTGCAGTGAGCCAAGATTGCGCCACTGCACTCCAGCCTGGGTGACAGAGTGAGACTCCATCTCCAAAAAAACAAAACAAAACAAAAAATTCACAAATATTTCTTCTAGTGATCTGCATGGTTTCCTTTTTTACATTTAAATGTTTGATCCATTTGAAAGTTATTTTGATATAAGGAATAAGGTAAATATCCAGTCTTGTTTTTTCCTTAATGACTAATCAGTGGTCCCAAGATTATTTTTCTAATATTCCATTTCCCCACAGTAATTTGAAATGCAATCTTTACCACACTGTATTTTTCATTAATTAGATCTGTTTCTGAACTCTATTCTGTCCCACTGATCTGTTTACTGTGCCAGTATCATGGTACTTAAATAACTACAGCTTTAGAATAAGGTTTACTATTTTACTTAGAATTTATTTTTCATATATTTCCCCCTTTGCTGACATTATTCTCCCTTTTCATTTTCTTATTATCCTCATTTGTTGAGTTTTACCAATGAACTCTTGGATTATCTGTCATTTAAAAAAAAATCAAACAATGACAGATTGTAATAAGGATTACACTGAATTTATATTAATTTCAGGAAAAAGGACATATTTACATTACCTAACAATAAGCTAGGCCAGCCTTCCCTTTAAATTAATTAATTATACAAATCTGTTTTCAGAATCATATTTCCTTGGTATTGGTTAGCATACATTCAATAAAATCCTACTGAAAAATTTGTGTTTAGTATAAGCAAAGTAACTTTTTTTTTGAGACGGAGTCTTGCTCTGTCACCCAGGCTGGAACGCAGTGGCGTGATCTCGGCTCACTGCAAGCTCCGCCTCCCGGTTTCATACCATTCTCCTGCCTCAGCCTCCTTAAGAGCTGGGACTACAGGCGCCTGCCACCACGCCCAGCTAATTGTTTTTTTGTATTTTTAGTAGAGACAAGGTTTCACCATGTTAGCCAGGATGGTCTCGATCTCCTGACCTCTTGATCCACCCACCTCGGCCTCCCAAAGTGCTGGGATTACAGGCATGAGCCACCGCGCCCAGCCACTTTTTTTTTTAGACGGAGTCTTGCTCTGTCGTCCAGGTTGGAGTGCAGTGGCGCAATCTTGGCTCACTGCAAGCTCCACCTCCCAGGTTCAAGTGGTTCTCCTACTTCAGCCTCCCGAGTAGCTGGGACTACTGGCACCCGTCACCATGCCTGGCTAATTTTTTTTGTATTTTTTAATAGAAACGGGGTTTCACCATGTTGGCCAGGATGGTCTTGATCTCTTGACCTCGTGATACACCCACCTAGGCTTCCCAAAGTGCTGGGATTACAGGTGTGAGCCACAGCGTCCGGCCCAGCAAAATAATTTAAACCCAAAGTTAAAGTTGTTGGAAAACAGTTTGGCAGTTCCTCAAACAGTTAAACATAGAGTTATCATGTGACCCAGTAATTCTACTCCTAGGAATATGCCCAAGAGAACTGAAAACATATGTTCACACAAAAACTCGTACATAAGCATTCATAGTAGCACTATGCACAATAGTCCCAAAGCAAAAACAACTGAAATATCCATCAGTGGATGAATGGGTGATCAAAATGTGGTATGTCCATACAATGGACTATTTTTCAGTCATAAAAAAGAACAAACTGGCCAAGCACCGTGGCTCACACCTGTAATCCCAGCACTCTGGGAGGCCAAGGCAGGAGGACTGCTTAAGCCCAGTAGTTCGAGACCAGCCTGGGCTACACAGGGATACCCCATCTCTAGAAAAAAAATTTTTTTAATTAGCCAAGTGTGGTGGCATACTCCTGTGGTCCCAGCTACTCAGGAGGCTGAGGTAAGAGAACTTTTTATAGAGAAGTTAGCCCGTTTTCAGTCTTTTGAGTTACAGATAATCGTAAGAGTTTGTTGTTTGCATTTTTACTTTATTTATTTTTACCAAATAGAAATGTTTTATATTTGCGCTTTCAGATTTATTGATTTTTTGAATCACTGACACACACAAAGGCCTTACCCATTTTAATTTTTTTTTCTTTTTTTAGTTGGAGTCTCGCTGTGTCACCCAGGCTGGAGTGCAGTGGCACGATCTCGGCTCACTGCAAGCTCCGCCTCCCGAGTTCACACCATTCTCCTGCCTCAGCCTCCAGAGTAGCTGGGACTACAGGCGCCCGCCACCATGCTCGGCTAATTTTTTTGTATTTTTAGTAGAGATGGGGTTTCACCGTGTTCACCAGGATGGTCTCAATCTCCTGACTTTGTGATCTGCCTGCCTCTGCCTCCTTAAGTGCTTGGATTACAGGCGTGAGCCACTGCGCCTGGCCCATTTTAATAGTATAAAAAAAAAAACCACAAATATTTCTTCTAGTGATCTGCATGGTTTCCTTTTTTACGTTTAAATGTTTGATCCATTTGAAAGTTATTTTGACATAAGGAGTAAGGTTACTACTGATTCCTACTCAGGAGGCTAAAGTGGGAGGACCACTTAAGTATGGGAGGTCGAGGCTATAGTGAGCCATTACTGAGCCACTGCACTACAATCTGGGCGACAGAGCAAGACTCTGTCTAAAAAAAAAAAAAAGAACTACTAATATAAGCTACAACATCAATGAATCTTAGAAACATTAAGGAAAGTGAAAGAAGCCAAATACAAAAGGCCACATATTACCATTTATATAACATATCCAGAACAGGCAAATCCATAGATAGAAAGTAGATTAGTAGTTGCCTGGGGACAGGGATAGGGAAGAATTGGGAGATATGGGGTTCTTTTAGGGTGATAAGAAATGTTCTGAAACTAAATAGTGGTAATGGCTGTAAAACACTGTGTAATACCAAAAATTACTGAATTGTACATTTTAAAATGGTGAATATTACATGAATTTTACATCAATAAAAAAAAATGAGCAAACAAAAAGTTAAAGGTGTATAAAATCTACTGACCATTTTCTGTGGTATTGATGCAAAATTAGTATATCCAAGCACATCCTCTATGAAGTTATTGTCACAGCCTTTCCCAACCCAAATGTAAAAAACCTAAAAAGAAAAAGCAACAAAATATTAAAACTCCCTAATAGTTAATTCATTTTCATTAATGTTCTCAAAATTATCACCTCAAATAAGGTAGAAACAAACAGAAGAGTAAAAAGGAAATCTATAATTGTTACATTGTGAATCTATATGTAAGAATCCAGAGTGGTTCACATCGTCTTTGATTAAATGTTAAGGCTTACCATAAAATATATTTTACCTTTTGCACTTATTTTCCCAATAGAAATATAATCCTTTAATCAGTATAATTGACTCACTGTATTTCCCATCCACTATTTCATTACTGTCTGTGTATTTTCACTCATGCATTTCTCCCTCTTCTGTGGCTATCCAAATCCTTTTTCTGCTCATAAGGCATCATTTTGAAGCCATCTTAACCATTCTAACTCCCTTCAACAACTACCCCTGCCCAGTGATTTCTCTTGAACTCCTAATCATTAATGAGATTTCTGACAATGGATGTAAGTTGAACTAGATAAACTCTTGAAATACTTTTAAATTCTAGACTCTAGATGGTAAAGTCCCTAAATATAGGAATTTACCTCATTAGTTCTCTTCATCAAGTATATATAATTCATGACAGTAAATAATCCATATTAAAATGTATTACTCTATCAGTATTATCAATACAAATATCAATAACATCAATATAAAATGAAGTCCAAATAGAAAAGTTTAAAGTAAATTGACCTCCAGTGCTAGTTACCAATTTCAGCTCCTAATCCTAATTCACCTTTCACTACTTGCTCTGTGATAACAGCTGGACCCTATAAGTGTTTCTTTGTTTTTGGTCAGCTCAAACAGTGTTAAGCTTTGCCAGTAAAGGGTGCTTACAGAGCCACAGTCCATAAGGAAAGCACCTTCTCTTGTCAGCTTCTCTGCAGACAATTTTTGAAGAGGTGGCTGTGGTACAATCCTGTCATTAACATGTACTGCACCCTGAAAAGAAAAAGAGAGAATGTGAATGAGATTACATTACTATCATCACAGTTTGGGAGCTAATGGTCACTAACCCTTTATGAAGCATTGGAAAATAACACTTGGGAGTTTTGCATGATATAAAAAATACTGATTATATGCTACCACCTTGGCTGTAGAATCAACACACTCAAATGTATTCAAATTTAAAAAGTAAAAACATGAATACATAAAATGATCTGTCACATTCCCTTCCCTTTTAGGGTGGGGTCAGAATATATTACAAGTGTGACTACTGGCTCTGTTGCATAGCCAGCTTTTTTTTTTACATTTCTTTGGCAACATAACATTATGTTTGGAATACTAATTCCAAAGAATACAGTTTTCACACAGGGAAGATAAAAGACACTACATATTTGCACATTAAAATTATTATTGGATACCAGATTTGGTTTACTATATAATCAAAATTGCAACTGATCTTATCAAAAGCAGTCAATATTGGCCAGGTGTGGTGGCTCATGCCTGTAAACCCAGCACTTTGGGAAGCCGAGATGGGCAGATCACTTGAGGTCAGGAGTTTGAGGCCAGCCTGGCCAATATGGTGAAACTCTGTCTCTACTAAAAGTACAAAAATTAGCCAGGCGTGGTGGCATGTGCCTGTAATCCCAGCAACTTGGGTGGCTGAAGCAGAATTGCTTGAACCTGGGAGGCAGAAGCTGCAGTGAGCCGAGATCACACCACTGCACTCCAGCCTGGGTGACACAGCAAGATTCTGTCTTTAAAATAAAATTTAAAAAAAAGAAAATAAAGAGAAGCAGTCAATATCTACAAAATATAAATGGAAATGTCCACTCTACAACTTAGCTTTGTAATACATATTATAAGCAAACCTACAAGACAAATTACTTCTGATATGAAACTATTTTTTAAAACTACTTAACCACTGATGGTATTTAAGAGTCCTGCCATCCAATCAGATCCACAGCCAGTGTCCTTATTTAATGTATTACTACCACAAGGGGGAAAAAGAGTTAAAAAGAAAAACCAGTTGATAGTATATTATCATCTTAGCTGTAGAACAAGACACTCAAATATATTCAAATTTAAACATTTCAAATGCACTAAAATACATACCTCATCTGTCAATCTGTCTATCCTGTATAAGTTGGGATGAATCATTTTCATTAGATGAACAAGTGGCTGAGACTTTATCTGACACATGGCATATACACGATCATCCAGCCGTGTGCTTGTACCCGTTCTAAATGCTTTCTACAAGGAAAAAGATAAACGTTTTCAAGTAAAATACAAATATGGTGGACAAATATTAAAACAAATATACACTGTCAATCATGGAAAAAGCATGGCCTTTAAATCAGACAGACCTAGATTCAATTCTCAGCTCTGACATTTAATAGGTATGTGATGCTGGAGCAAGTTACCTAGCTCCTCTGAGCTATACTGTCATCATGAGAAAAATAGGGAAAATAATACCTCTTTAGGTTGTTGAAAGGATTAAATAAAATGATGCATTGACACCTTTTATGGTGCCAGAGACATGGAAAGATGCTTAATATTAGTTCCTGTCCTTAAAGAGTCTCTTTCCAGAGGACATATTAAGAGTGAGCTATGACTGCACCATTATGCAAACTGCTCACACACATTAAAGAAGAGAGAATATGGTTTCACTAAAGTCATCATGTATTTGTATACCTTCATTTTCCACTGATCTTTTCTTTTTTTTTTTTTTTTTTTTTTTTTGAGACGGAGTCTCGCTCTGTTGCCCAGGCTGGGGTGCAGCGGCATGATCTTGGCTCACTGCAACCTCCACCTCCCAGGTTCAGGCAATTCTCCTGCCTCAGCCCCCAGAGTAGCTGGGATTACAGGCGCGTGCCACCAGCTAATTTTTGTATTTTTGGTAGAGGCGGGGTTTCACTATGTTGGCCAGGCTGGTTGCAAACTCCTGGCATCAGCTGATCCGCACACCTCGGCCTCCCAAAGTGCTGGGATTACAGGCGTGAGCCACCATGCATGGCCCCATTGATCTTTTTCTATTCTTCAAAACTCTTTCAATGCTAAAGTGAATAATCCTCTAGTTAAGTATTAGAAAACAACCTAGATTTCCTTTCTTCATGTACATATCTGAGAATTTTAAAAAACAATATTAAATATAGCAATGTATAAAAAGCTACCTGTTTGAGAAGGGCCAAAACATAGAGAGGAAACAACTTGAGGGAGCTGGGCGCCATCAATGCAGAGTGCTGTAAATTTGAGACAGTTGAGCCATATGCAGACAATGAGTCCACTACAGCATTCACTAAGGCATCTCTTGCATCTGACAGACTTGATGAAACGGACCGATCCACAGCTAAAAAGCAACCAAAGTGAAAGGTATTTTAACCATTAGAATCCAATGGGCACTATAAGAGAGAAAATTTATACGCATTATTTAAGAAACAAAATTCAGCTAAGTTTTTAGGATGGAAAAATGCATTTCATCAGCTCCCTCATTTCAAATGTCTTCTTATACATTTTTTTCTGAAATAAATCTGACAATCAGAACAAGTCTAGATTCTTTTGGACATTTTTGTTTTAATCTCTTAAGTCTAAAAACATTTAGCCAGGCTGGACATGGTGGCTCATGCCTGTAATCCCAGCACTTTGGGAGGCCAAGGTGGGAGGATCACTTGAGCCCAGGAGTTCATGACCAGATTAGGCAACATAGTGAGACCTTGTCTCTACAAAAAATAAAAAAATTAGCTGGGCATGGTGGCACGTGCCTGTAGTCCCAGCTATTTGGGAGGCTGAAGTAGGAGGACTGCTTGAGCCTGGGAGGTCGAAGCTGCAGTAACCTGTGATTGTGCACTCTGGCATGGGCGACAGAGCAAGACCCTGTCTACAAACAAACCCCAAAACATGTAGCCCCTATTGATATTAGTGAAATGCATATTTTTCCATTTACTTCTGAAAAAGCCTTGGGAAGGTTTCCATTACTCAAACACCAAGTCACATGTATCATTTTTTTCTGCTCAACCAATGTAATTTCTGCAATCTGAATTATACCTTGTGATCCTCTACAATTTTTGTAAAGCATTCCAAGCCAACAAATTTTTTGAAAGGGAAAAATAAACACAAGTTTTCATGCAGCCATTAAGACACAGGTAACGTGAAACTTATTTTTCTACAATAATATATTCTATTAAAATAGGGATAACCTATAATATATATGCCCAAGCACTAAAAATAGAATTATATTAAAAAACAATTGGTTATGGCATAATTAATTCAAAATCTATATATAAAATTATACTTAAAAAATCTGAATCCTGAGGTTTGGGGTACAACTGATTCCATCATAACGAACGTGCATATGTACTCCCTGAATCAAAAACAAAAGTTAAAATTAAGAAATAAATCTGATATACAAGCTTTTGATTTTAGTTAAATATTTAAGAGAATCTGATTAAATCCTTCTTCTTTTTCCCCCCACCCCCGAGACAGAGTCTCCCTCTGTTTCCCAGGCTGGAGTGCAGTGGTGCGATCTTGGCTCATTGCAACCTCTGCCTCCCGGGTTCAACAGATTCTCCTGCCTCAGCCTCCTGAGTAGCTGGGACCACATGTGTGCACCACCACACCCAGCTAATTTTTGTATTTTTAGTAGAGACAGGGTCTCACTTCATTGACCAGTCTCGTCTTGAACTCCTGAAGTTAAGTGATCCACTTGCTTCAGCCTCCCAAGTACTGGGATTACAGGCATGGGCCACCACACCAGGACTGATTAAATGCTTCTGTTATTTAAAAAAATTTGGATCCTTCGGTAAATGCTATTATAATTTTTCCCAAATTAGTATTAATAACTCTCTTTCTCTAGGACTACATGGGAAATAGCAAGGCTTGTTTCATGTCTAAGTTCATCTACAAGGCAAATTCATTGAAAACATTTAAGTGCTATGTTAATTCTCAAAAGGATTTTTTTAGACTTACATATAATTAGTTTAAGTACAGTTCTATAGTGGTTATGTGTCAAATGCATAGCCATGTAATCTCTACCACAATCAGGATACACAATAGTTCCATCACTACAAAATTATCCCCCTATACTTGCCCCTTTGCAGTAAAACCCTCCCTCAGTCTCAATCCCAATTAGTCACCATTTGATAATTTTCCCTTTCCCTGAATGTCATTTATATAGAATCATTTGTATGTAGCTTTTTTTTTTTTTTTTTGAGATGCAGTCTCACGCTGTCACTCAGGCAGGAGTACAGTGGCGAGACCTCGGCTCGGCTCACTGCAACCTCTGCCTCCTGGGTTCAAAGGATTTTCCTGCCTCAACCTCCCAAGTAGTTGGGATTACAGGGGTGCAGCACCACGCCCAGCTAATTTTTTTCTTGTATTTTTAGTAGAGACAGGGTTTCACCATGTTGGCCAGGCTGGTCTTGAACTCCTCACCTCAAGTGATCCGCCCACTTCAGCTTCCCAAAGTGTTGGGAATGAGCCCACCTGGAATGAGCTCATTACAGGCATGAGCCACCACACCTGGCCTATGCAGCTTTTTGAGTCTAGCTTCTTTTATTCAGCACAATGTCTTTGAGAGGCATCCATGTTTGTTTAAGTATTGACAGTTCATTCCTTTTTATTGCTGCATTATATTCTATTGTATGAGTGTACCATGGATTGTGCATATATTATTTGAAGGACATTTCAGTTTTTACCACATTTTTAGAGATTATGAATTCCCTCAAAGATTTTGAAAGTAAGATTAAGGAAGAAATGTGAGGACAGTCTGATTCACAATGCAGTAAATAAAAATGTAAAACATATGCTTTTTAAATAAGAGAAAATCCTAGCTTCAGTTTCTTTCTTTCTTTTTTTTTTTGAGACAGAGTCTCACTCTGTTGCCCAAGCTGGAGTGGAGTGATTGGAGTGATGCGGTCTCGGCTCACTGCAACGTCCGCCTCTCAGGTTCAAGCAATTCTCCTGTCTCAGTCTCCTGAGAAGCTGCGATTACAGGCGCCTGCCACCACGCTCGGCTATTTTTTCGTATTTTTAGTAGAGATGGGGTTTCACCATGTTGGCCAGCCTGGTCTCAAACTCCTGACCTCGTGGTCCGTCCGCCTCAGCCTCCCAAAATGCTGGGATTACAGGCGGACGCACTGCCACCAGCCAAGCTTCAGTTTTTAAGATAGAAAAATACATTTCACATGTTCCTTCAATT